>NC_000008.11:16829799-17132829 GCF_000001405.40 Homo sapiens
CCAGTGACACACATTACTAAATGAAAAATGGTAAACATTTTTTATAAAGCTATTATTACATAAATCTAAAAACACTAAAAATTTTGGTTACATAGTATCTCTAAAATAACATTTCTGGCCTGGTGTGATGGCTCATGCCTCTTACCCTAGCACTTTGAGAGACTGACGTAGGAGGATCATTTTAGCCCAAGAGTTTGAGACCAGCCCGGGCAACACAGTGAGACCCCATCTCTACCAAAAAAAATAAATAATTTTTTTTTTAATTAGCCATTTGTGATGGCATGTACCTGTAGTCACAGCTACTCTGGAGGATGAGGTGGGAGGATCACGTGAGCCCGAGAGGTTGAGGCTGCAGTGAACCGTGATCATGCCACTGCACTCCGGTCTGAGTGACAGAATAAGATTCTGTCTCAAAAATAAAAATAAAATAAAAATCGTTTCTTTTTCAAATATATTTGTAAAGGTGCCCCGCCCCGCCCTGCCGTTTATATTTTTTTACATTAAGGAACCGCCAAAAATCCTTGCATGTGTGTGCTATGAATTGCCTTGTTGTGTAAGGCACTTAGAGGTCCGTAAGAACAGCCATTTGAAATGTGATTTCATACATCAAAACAATCTATTCCCACGGAGGAAGCTATGAATATCTCTCAACATCTTTTGGCCACCCGTGAACATCTCAGCATCACCAACTATGGAAAAGGAAAGATTAGTAATACATAACACATTTTTCATACCAAATCTCACTTTTCTTTAAGTACTTTTTCTTTGCAGGGATGTAAACTGACCCTGACAATGAATAAAAAATAAATAAATAAATAAAAGCACTAACTTCATATTTCAAAATGTCCTGTCAGCTGGTGTAAATGTCTACCTATCAAGTTAAGATCAAAAAAGTGAATGTTAGTGGGGCTAGTTAGCTATTAACAGTGTTGATTTGGTTCCAGTTTATGGATCCTGGTTTTCAAATAGGTAGTATCACATACTAAAGTTAACTCTGAAGGTGAAAACAAATCTCTATTCTCGGCTTTCTTCTATTATTCCCTCCTTTTTTTTTTTTAATTCTTTGTTGGACCTCCTTTATTCTTATTCTTTCAGTCCCCCAGGTCAACCCTTGTCTGTCCCTTGGTCTGATTTCTCTGTTTAGTGTCTCCATCTCCTCTTTCTACACTCTCCTTTTAAAGTCTCTTGGCTTTTGTTTTGTTTTGTTTTGTTTTTGACATGCAATCTTCCTCTGTCACCCAGGCTGGAGTGCAGTGGCACTGTGTCAGCTGACTGCAAACTCTGCCTCCAGGGTTCAGGTGATTCTCTTGTCTCAGCCTCCCGAGTAACTGGGAGTACAGGCGTGCACCACCACAGCCAGCTAATTTTGTATTTTTAGTAGAGACAGGGTTTCACCATGTTGGCCAGGCTGGTCTTGAACTCCTAACCTCAGGTGATCCACCTGCCTCGGCCTCCCAAACTGCTGGTATTATAGGCATGAGCCACCACGCCTGGCTGATTCTCCTTTTTAAAGCCATCTTCTGCCTCTCAGATCCTGCCTTTGTCGCCAGCATCCCCCAACTCACCTTACATTCTATTACTGCGTTCTCTCTTCACCCTGGCATTCAAGGCCTGCCAGAGTTGATCTGTTGGGGAAATGTGTATTATTTAAAGATGCTCTCTTACCCTAACCTAGTCTTGACCATCAAAAATGTATTTCAAGTGTAAGTAGAGGTGACTGATCTTGGAATTTTAGCAACTCCATGGAACAGCCTCCCAAAAACGCAAAGGAAATCAGAGCCTCATGTTTATTATATAACCAAATGCTTTTATAACATGTCCGGACTTTAAATCACTAATAAATTCTCCTTCATAGGAGTAGGACTTCATTTGCCACATTATACTATTTAAATGGGGATTTTTAAAATCCCCAAAGGCTGAGTTTAAGAAGAGAAAACAAAAACATCTATATAAGACAGTATCATTAGAGATGAAAAGAAAAGCTGAAATAATTACAGACCAGAAGCAAAGCTGTCATGAATTACCTTGGAATTTAGCTAGATGGTGCTGCAGCCTGTGTGTGGCTAGTTGCACAGTCCAGTTGCTGAATGGAAATCAACAGGCACGCAGATGGTTCATATTTTTTTAGGGTATAGAATTCCGTTAGGAATTAAAGAGACTACCTACCACAATTAGAATTTTTTCAAAAATCTAATTCTTCTGAGAATGACATTTTGCATCTTTGAAAAAAAGGAGACACCAATGAGGATTTATTATATACATGTTTTGACCCTGAAATAGAACCATCAGTATGAACATTCAGAAGTTTCATCCTCTTGAAATTCTTTCTTTTTTAGAAGTCTTTCTCTTTCATTAATCGTATCAACATGCTCTGTGTATTTGTCAAATTCTTCAGCTGAGATAACCGCTGTAATCACCCCAAGGATCTTAGGGATTTATAGCATTCTGCCAGAAGCTTCACCTTTGATCAAAACTGGCAGTCACCCAGCTGATTTCTCAAGAAATGTCTCCAAATTACACAATTTTAAATAGGGCCAATGCGCACACATGGTTCTACTCTGCACCACACAGTTTCACTACACATTCGGCTACAATATGGCTAACGTTTTGTAACATGTCATTATTCAGTTTTAATTATTGATTTAATTTAATTGTTTACATCTTTTCTGGTGCTTTGAAGTTTAAAGATCGGTCACTTTCATCCGGCAGCCCGCTAAAGAGGAAATTACTCCACGCTACTCACATCTCATCTCATGCATTTTAATTTAAAAGTGAGTCAGAGAAGCGGGGCCCAGTAGCTCACGCCTATAATCCCAACACTTTGGGAGGCCAAGGTGGGAGGATCCCTTGAGCCCAGGAGTTCAAGACCACACTGAGCAACATAGGGAGATCTCTAAAAAAGAAATTAAAAGTGAGTCACAGGTAAACTACTAACCAAAAGAAACGAAGGGATTTTAGTTGTGTGTGTGTGCATGTGTGTATATTTGGTGTGTAATTAGTAGTTCATATTTAATATTTTTAATTTTTCAGAAAAAAGTTTTTAAATTCTCTTCTATAAAACATGATGAAGATAATTATCACTGCCTCCAATTTCTTCCTGCAGAAATTAACAAGAATGATAGAATTGCAATTTATGTTTAGTATTTAAACAACTCTACCCTATAACTAATTAATCTGTAAAATAAATACCATATGTAGCTATACACATATCCATGCTCATGCACGGAATCTGTGACTACTTCAGATTTGTCCAACAAAAAAGTAAAAGTCAAATGTGTATCCTCTGTGCCATAGACTTTCCAAATTTGTTCTTTAGAACCCTATGGGATCCCCAGAAACGCCTTGCAGAGAGTAACTAGGCTGATATAATTTCCCTTATTCTTACTGCTAAGACCTTTACTATCTGCATAAAATACAAAAATGTAAAGACACACACACACCCCCTCTAGCTCTCTGTTCTATAATGTAAATAACTGGAATAGATGTTTAGTCTAAAATGTCACATTTAAGTTGTTTTACCTTGCTCTTTTGGACTTTACTTTAAATGCTTCAAATAGATACCCTATAGTGAAGGAGGGAAAGACTGAAAGAAAATCTTCTTCTGATTCTTTCTTATGGAATTCTCTTACAAGCGAAGATCAAATATATGTACAATGGAAGCACCCCAGATTCCTATGCTTTACAGAACAGCTGATGAGCCAGCTGCAATCCCCCAGCTAGAGCATCCCATCCATCCATCCCTTAACTCACTCATTCATTTAACATTTACTGAATACCAGCTATGAGCTAGGCACTGTCCTAGGCAAGGAATTAGAAATGAATCATAAGCAGTCCTCCAAGACCTCTAGAAATCCACAGTCTAAAATGCTTAGGCAGATACTTAAACAAATAAAGAAAATACAATGAGATGAGTGCCATGATGGAACTATACGTAGGGTCTGAACAGGGACAAAGAAAGTTCAAGATAGCCCAGGCTTCCTGGAAGAGGCAATGCCTGACATAAACCCTATCCAGAGAGTAGATGCTGACCAGGTGAAAAATTCAGCCCCAATAAAATCTCCTGTACTGGTGGAAGAGTCCTGAAAAGAAAGTGCAGAGACTGTGGGAAAATAGAAATATTAAGGGAAAATGGCTCTATAATTACATTCCACAAGTTCCATATGCTAAACTATTTCTAAATGATAGAAGAGAAAACCACAGGCTTAATACAGTCTGCTTAAGCGCCAGATAAAACCCTCGATTGATTTTATAACCTTGAGCAAATAATTCTTTGAGACTTGTATTCACTTTTTAATAAAAATTAGGAAATAATTACCTTACAGGATTGTAAGAATTAAATGAGCTAATGCACGTAGCACGTTATAAATATTAGCACCCTGCCCTCGCTTGTCTACAGGCTTCTATACCTAGAATAATACCAGACATGGGATATGGAGAAAAGTCATGAAGAAAAAAGTGTTAGATATAAAGTCAGAAAACCCAACTTGGTCTTCAACTCCACCAATTACTAAGCTCGATAACTTTGGATCAACTATGTACATTTTCTGAGCTGCATTTAATTTGATAAAGTAGAATAATAAAACCTCCTAGGCCTACCCAGACAGGGTTGTTGTAAATATTAAGTGAGATATACATTATGATGCTAACATAAATTAAAAGCAATTCAAAATGCTTTTAATTTCAAATTCAATAAATTTGAATGATCCAAATTCAATAAAGACTCTTTGACATTATATTTTTAGTAGATGGAATGTCAACAATGAATGTGTGGATGTGTGTATGTCTGTGTGTTTGTGCACATGTGTGTGTGTGAGAGAGAGAGAGAGAGAGAAAGAGGTTGCTAAAAAAGTAAATATATTGGCCCGGCATGGTGGCTCACGCCTCTAATCCCAGCACTTTGGGAGGCCAAGGCAAGCAGATCACGAGGTCAGGAGTTTGAGACCAGCCTGGGCAACATGGTGAATCCCCATCTCTACTAAAAATACAAAAATTAGGCGGGAGTGGTGGCGTTCACCTGTACTCCCAGCTATTCGGGAGGATGAGGCAGGAGAATCACTTGAACCCAGGAGGTGGAAGTTGCAGTGAGCCGAGATCGTGCCACTGCACTCCAGCCTGGGTGACAGAGCAAGCCTTCATCTCAATAAAAAAGCAAATATGGCTGGGCATGGCGGCTCACACCTGCAATCTCAGCACTTTGGGAGGCCAAGGCAGGTGGATCACAAGGTCAAGAGATCGAGACCATCCTGGCCAACCTGGTAAAACCCCGTCTTTACTAAAAATACAAAAATTAGCCAGGCGTGGTGGTACAGGCCTATGGTCCCAGCAACTAGGGAGGCTGAGGCAGGAGAATCACTTGAACCCGGGAGGTGGAGGTTGCAGAGAGCCGAGATCGCACCACTGCACTCCAGCTTGGTGACAGAGTGGGACACTTCTCTCAAAAAAAAAAAAAAAAAAAAATCAAATATATTGGTTCCCTTTGTTCCAAAATCAAGGTCAAAGTAATGTAATTTTCAAACACAATGATTTTCAAAGTACAATGCATTACTTTAAAAAACTGTTTGTATACTCTCTAATAAAAATCTAACAAAATGCTTTTAAAGAGAATCATTCTTAAAAACAATTTAAAAAGATAAATACAATAAAAAGGATGAAAATATCAACCCAGAATTTCACTAAAAATAGAATATCCAAGTAAACAGCCAACCAAATTGTAAAACTTTGATCAAATTTGTTAGAAATCAAAAATGCAAGTTAAAATGAATAAAATTCTTCACCTATTAAGTTGTTAAATAAGAAAAATAATTATAATAGCAGCATTGACCATTATGGGATAAGGGAACGGGCCTTGCACATCTCCAGTAGGAAGAAGAAATTAGTGCAGTCTTCCCAGAATGGAATTTGGGAATATGATTTATCATCCTCTAAAATGTTTTTTAATCTAAGTAATTAGGTTTTAGATTAATATGCTAAATAAAATCATAGATCAGCAATATGAGCCCTACAGTGAGTTATCATCATGCCACAGCACTCCAGCAGCCTAGGCGACAGAGCAAGACCCTGTCTGTAAAAAAAAAAAAAAAAAAAAAAAATCTGATTTTGAAGCATTATTTGGCATCATAGAAATGTATGGAAAATATCGCAAAGCAAAACTGTGTTTCCATTACCCCACTTTTAATATGTATATGTTTATTCCTTAGAAAAAAGACTTGAAAAGAAACAATGAAATATTAACAATTTTATTAGTTATCCTATTGCTGTGTAACAAATTATCCTTAAAACTTAGCAACATAAAACAATACCCGTTTATTTTATTACTGTTTTTGTGAGCCAAGAATCCAGGCACAGCTTAGCTGGTACCTGTGTTTCAGAGTTTCCTCACAAGGATCATGTTATTGACCAGGGCTGAAGTCTCCTCCAAAGGCTCAACTGAGGACAAATCCACTTTCAAGCTCACGTACATGGGTGTGCTCAGGACTCATTTCCTTGAGGATTCTGAACTGAGGGTTCTTTGCTGGCTGTTGCCAGAAGCTACTCTCAGTTCCTTCCTATATAGGCCTCTTTAACGTGCAACTTGCTTTATCAAAGCCAATAAGAGAGAGTGTCACTAGCAAGACAGAAGTCACAATCTTTCATTACTTAATTGCAAAAGTCGCATCCCCTCAATGTTACCATATTCTATGGTTAGAAGCAAATTACTCAAGGGGAGGGGAGTTTATAAAACTGTGAATGCCAGGTGGAGACCACTGAAGCCCCACAGAAGCACCCACCATGCTAGAGGATGCCTCCTTGTCTTCCTCACATCTCCATTTTTATATATATTATAAACATATTTCATATAAAAGAAAATAATTGTTTGTAAGTAAATGTAATAAATTGGCTAATCTGTTAATAAAGCATTTACAAAACATCTAAGAAGAGTCATTTATGTGGTTTGGCTGTGTACCCACCCAAATCTCAATGAATTGTAGCTCCCATAATTCCCTCATGTTGTGGGAGAGACCTGATGGGAGACAATTGCATCATGGGGGCAGTTTCCCCCAAACTGTTCTCATGGTAGTGAATAAGTCTCATGAGATTTGATGGTTTTATAAGGGGAAACCCCTTTCACTTGGCTCTCATTCTTCTCTTGTGTGCCACCGCGTGAGACCTGCCTTTCACCTTCTACCGCGATTGTGAGGCCTCCCCAGCCACGTGGAACTGTGAGTCCCTTAAACTTCTTTCTTTTGTAACTTGCTCAGTCTCAGGTATGTCTTTACCAGCAGCCTGAAAACAGACTAATACAATCATAAAACTATGTATTATGATAATATCAAAGAAAATACTCTTATTTATAGGCTAGCTATCTATAGAAGCTTTAAAAATTAAAGAAGAAAGGGACGGAGGGAGATAAAGGGGAGAAAAACAGCAATTTTATTGCCAAACACTTGGTGAATGGTTGGCTTTAAAAAATAAAAATTATGTCACGACATTAGGATATCTTTTAGCTATTCAGCCATACAGAAACATAAAAAAGTCAAAAAATTACAAATGTCAAGTAAAAAAATTAAATATAACCTATGTAATTATTATTGCAAAGTAAGAGCTATGTCTGTACCATTATAATTAAGCTTATAATTTTAAGCTTAATGAATAGTGATGTGGCAAAGGAATATTTTGAGACTTTGTTAACCACGTATAGTTGGACTCTCCATTGAAAAATTGGTGAAACAAACACATTTTTAAAAATAAAATAGCCTAGTTACACTTGAACAAATTAGTAAGATGCAAATAATTTTCTCACCTCAGATACTCCCAAAATAATTTATATAACTATATATATAGTTTCCTCTCTCACAACTATTATAAGGTGAATGAAATTATACAAATTGAATAAGCTCTCCTCTTTGACTGAAATACATCCTTATGCTGTACATAACCTCCTTGGGAAAGAAAACAGAGCTGTCTGTGAAAACAAAAGACCTGTGTTTCAGGCCAGACAGTTTATCTGATTAAGAAAGAGAAGGAGGTTTATAATCAAAAACTAATTCTCCAGCACCACACCGTAAGCTCTTCAAACAAGATTTGTGTCACTCTAGACTTCATTTACAAAGGTGGAGAAGAGTTTTTCAGCTCCTGGTGGTATTATTGTTCTTGATTGCCCCCTTTGGGCCCAATCTTTTGCAAAATACCAGGAACAAAGAACAAGTTAAACATACAATAGAATTAACAGAATAGTATAAGCAGCTCTACCTGCAACACACATGTAATTGGAAGCAATTTTACTAAATAAATACAACTACAGGTTTGAAAACAAATGTATATACCCCTCTTAGTAAGGTTTCTCCCCAAAATATATGAAAAGCTAAATTCACCCAAACAAAATTTTAACATAAAGGAAATAAGCTGATTGGAGATGCAATTTGCAAAAGAAAACAATCACTCCAAGAGGCGAGAGTGAAATAAAAATTATTTAGTTTGATTTTGAATACAAAGTTGACTGTTTCCATAGTGGATGAACAGGTATCAAAGATTCATTCTAAGATCTAAAATAAAGTTTCAGTTTTCTCTCTTGGGCTTAAAAAAAATACTACAACAGAAGTCAAAAATACAATGTGGCTCTGTGCCTCTTACCTACTAATAATATCTTTTGCCAATCAACTTTAAAGATATTTAAGAAGTTAGAGTTCAAAGACCATAAGGAAATGACTCCTGTATTATAACAAAGCCAAAGAATTATTTTATCTTTATCTCAGCAATAACATGCAAAGGCTTTTTCTAATGTCTAATGTTTCTCCTAACTTGCCTTTCTTCCCTTGAGTTTGCTACGGGGTGAGAATTTTTTTTTTCTGTAAGCAAAATGAGATTGAATCATTATCAAAGCAGCAAGTGTAGTTCCTCAGCTTAGTCACCATACTAACCACAGAAATTCCAAATGGTTGAACTAAGATGGGAAATTAAGTTTGCAACTGGAGTCAGGACATCAATTGTGTTTAAAGATTCAAGCTTTCCTTTATAAGTATTTATCAGTGACAGGACATGATTTATGACAAATTAAGATTTAGGTCTACAGTGTTCAAATCTTACCAAGAAGAACTTTATCAACATATAGTTAGAAAGAAAAGAGAGAAATTACAGTAAATTTTACATTAACTAACTCTCAAAATTCTTTATTCTACCACCAGGAGGCCTAATTCTAACCAGTTTCATCTCCCTACCCACTAGGCTTAGCAATATCTCTATTTCCCAAATATTTCCCAAACATCTGGACTCTGAATTCAAATATACCTAGAATTTGGATCCTGGATTTTTCATTTACTACTTGCAGGGCCATGGAACAACTTCTTGAAAGAAAATTTTTGCAAACTAAGCATCTGACAAAGGTCTAATATCCAGCATCTATAAGGAACTAAAAAATCTAATAGAAAAAAACATGTGGTGATTCCTCAAAGACCTAAAGAGAGAAATACCATTTGACCCTCCAATCTCACTACTGGGTATATACCCAAAGGATTATAAATTATTCTATTATAAAGACACATGCATGCATATGTTCATTACAGCACTATTCACAATAGCAAAGACATAGAATCACCTTAAATGCCCATCAATGATAGAATGGATACAGAAAGTGTGGTATGTATACACCATGGAATACCACGCAGCCATAAAAAAGAACGAGATCATGTCCTTTGCAGGAACGCAGATGGAGCTGGAAACCATTATTCTTAGCAAACTAACGCAGAAGCAGAAAACCAAATATTGCATGTTCTCACTTATAAGTGGGAGCTAAATGGTGATAACACGTGCAAACATAGAGGGGAACAACACATACTGGGGCTATTCGGAGGGTTGAGGGTGGGAGGAAGGAGGGGATCAGGAAAAACAACAAGTGGGTACTAGACTTAATGCTTGGGTGATCTATATAACAACCCCTCATGGCATAAGTTTACCTGTATAACAAACCTGCACGTGTACCCCTAAACTTAAAAGTTAAAAAAAAGTAAAACAAAATAACTACAGGAGTATAATTGGACTGTTGATAACACAAAGGATAAATGCTTGAGGGGATGGATGCCCCATTTATCCTGATGTGATTAGTCCACATTTCATGCCTGTATCAAAATATCTCATATGACCAAAAAATATATACACCTACTATGTACCCATAAAATTAAAAATTAAAATCAAAACAAAATAAAAATTTAAAAGTTTACTGCTTGTATCAATTCTTCTTGTGATTTTGTTTGTTTAGCTGGTTAGTTCTTGGTTGAAGTTGGCTTTCAATTCTTGGTTGGGGATTGAGTGGGCAGAATTGGATTATCAGTGGGCGGCTGGATTATCAGTGGGCAGAACTAAAACAGGGCATGCAGAAGGGTGAAATAATTCATAAACTGATCTGATTCACAGAATCAACAGTTTACAGCAGATATAACTCTAAGAGCAGTAGCATCTCAGAAATTACAGATTTCCATGGGTGAGGGGGTGCAGCTCTGGACCCTCACAAAACATTAATTTGGCAGTTCTAATCAATCTTCTCTTAATTTCAGAAAATAAATATATACATAATATTATATATATATATATATACACACACATGCTGAAATATTATTCAGTCATAAAAACAATGAAACCCTGTCATTTGCCGCAACATGGATGGAACTGGAGGTCACTGTGTTAAGTGAAATAAGCCAGACACAGAAATATAAATTTTGCATGTTCTCACTCATAGTTGGGAGATAAAAAAGTGGATCTCATGGAGATCAGAGTTTATCTGGTTGGATGTCAGAGGCTGGAAAGGGAAAAGGATAGAAGTGATGAAGAGAAGTTGGCTAAGGAGTACAAAAATACAGTTAGATAGAAGGAATAAGTTCTAATATTCAATAGCACAGTGGAAAAATTACAGTAAACAATAATTTATTGTATATATCAAAATGGCTAGAAGAGAATAATTAAAATATTCCCAACACAAAGAAAATATAAATATTCGAGGTGACAGATATCCCAACTGCCCTGATTTGACTCATACATATTGTGTACAGGTATCAAAATATCACAGGTACCCTAAAAATATATACAACTATTATATATGAATAAAAGAGAACTTGGCAGACAAGTGGCTTATTTAGAAAATACTAAGACTCAAATATAACTCCAGTGTATTATAATCAACAGTACTTTAGAGTCAGCCTTATATTTTAGTTTGGGTTTCCATAAAAGCATAACCCGAGACAAGCCTTTGTTCCTGGACAGTGTATTGGAGGCTGTAAGGCCAGAGAACTGGAATTGGAGGAGATTGGAAAGAATGAAACCGGGAAAGAAGCCAATCCAATCCCAGGGTGAGGTGTTGCACTGGTTACTGCTATGGATGTCTAGGTCTCAATACCGTTGGCAAGAGGGTTGCCACATTTAGCATATAAAAATATCCAACACTCCGGTGCAGTGGCTCATGCCTGTAACCCCAGCACTTTGAGAGGCCAAGGTGGGCGGATCACTTGAGCTCAGGAGTTCGAGACCAGACTGGCCAACATGGTGAAACCACCATCTCTACTAAAAATACAAAAATTATCTTGGCCTGGTAGTACATGCCTGTCGTCCCAGCTACTCAGAAGGTGGACATGGGAGAACCACCCGAGCCCAGGAGGTTGAGGCTGCAGAGCACTCCAGCCTGGGCAACAGAGCAAGACCCTGTCTCAAAACAAACAAAAAATAAACAAAATTACCCAACACTCAGCTAAATTTGAATCTCAGATAAACAAGGAATACTTTTTATTTTTTATTTTTTTATTCTTATCTCTGTGAATTCTTTTTTATTATTATTATACTTTAAGTTTTAGGGTACATGTGCACAATGTGCAGGTTAGTTACATATGTATACATGTGCCATGCTGGTGTGCTGCACCCATTAACTCGTCATTTAACATTAGGTATATCTCCTAATGCTATCCCTCCCCACTCCCCTCACCCCACAACAGGCACCAGTGTGTGATGTTCTCCTTCTTGTGTCCATGTGTTCTCTACTTTAAAGTTCATATGGAACCAAAAAGAGCCTGCATTGCCAAGTCAATCCTAAGCCAAAAGAACAAAGCTGGAGGCATCATGCTACCTGACTTCAAGCTATACTGCAAGGCTGCAGTAACCAAAACAGCATGGTACTGCTACCAAAACAGAGATATAGACCAATGGAACATAACAGAGCCCTCAGAAATAATGCCACATATCTACAACCATCTGATCTTTGACAAACCTGACAAAAACAAGAAATGGGGAAATGATTCCCTATTTAATAAATGGTGCTGGGAAAACTGGCTAGCCATATGAAGAAAGCTGAAACTGGATCCCTTCCTTGCACCTTATACAAAAATTAATTCAAGATGGATTAAAGACTTAAATGTTAGACCTAAAACCGTAAAAACCCTAGAAGAAAACCTAGGCAATACCATTCAGGACATAGGCATGGGCAAGGACTTCATGTCTAAAACACCAAAAGCAATGGCAACAAAAGCCAAAATTGACAAATGGCATCTAATTAAACTAAAGAGCTTCTGCACAGCAAAAGAAGCTACCATCAGAGTGAACAGGCAACCTACAGAATGGGAGAAAATTTTTGCAATCTATTCATCTGACAAAGGGCTAATATCCAGAATCTACAATGAACTCCAACAAATTTACAAGAAAAAAACAAACAACCCCATCAAAAAATGGGCAAAGGATATGAACAGACACTTCTCGAAAGAAGACATTTATGCAGCCAAAAGACACATGAAAAAATGCTCATCATCACTGGCCATCAGAGAAATGCAAATCAAAACCACAATGAGATACCATCTCACACCAGTTAAAATGACGATCATTAAAAAGTCAGGAAACAACAGGTGCTGGAGAGGATGTGGAAAAATAGGAACACTTTTACACTGTTGGTGGGACTGTAAACTAGTTCAACCATTGTGGAAGTCGGTGTGGCGATTCCCCAGGGATCTAGAACTAAAAATACCATTTGACCCAGCCATCCCACTACTAGGTATATACCCAAAGAATTATAAATCATGCTGCTATAAAGACACATGCACACGTATGTTTATTGCGGCACTATTCACAATAGCAAAGACTTGGAACCAAGCCAAATGTCCAACAATGATAGACTGGATTAAGAAAATGTGGCACATATACACCATGGAATACTATGCAGCCATAAAAAAGGATGAGTTCATGTCCTTTGTAGGGACATGGATGAAGCTGGAAACCATCATTCTCAGCAAATTATCGCAAGGACAAAAAAACCAAACACCACATGTTCTCACTCATAGGTGGGAATTGAACAATGAGAACACTTTTTAATAGTATATCTCAAGAAATATTTGGGACATATTTATACTTTTAAAAAGTGTTTGTTGTTTATCTGACACTCAAATTTTCCTAGGCATCTTGTATTTTATCTGGTACCCTAACTGGGAACTCTCCGAGGTACTACATATAATGTGCCTCTGATTATCCACCCAAAGGTGGGAAAGCAAAGGTTATTTATACCTTGGCTCCCACCCCATTGGTCCAAGTTCACAGGGGCGGAATGGAGAAGCCAGCAGGAAAAAACAAAACATAAGCAAGGCAGCTGAAGCTGGGTGCTGCGAGGCTGCATCTGCAGCAACACTGTTCGTCACTGCAGCAAATTCTAACCACTCAGCAGAATTCCAATGTGAAATTCCCCCTAAACAAACACCGAAATGCAAATCACATCTGAAAAGAAGGTGAAAGGTTTGCATATATGAATTTTCTCCAAACCAACTGACACTTTCTCAGGATGTAAAGTTCCAGTGCACTGTTAATTGAGGGATAGGAATTGAATTTGAGATCCTCATCTTTTGACCTTTGCCAAGAGCTTATGATTTTTCCTTATTTCCATTTGATTTCAAACTGTTAATAATTCTCAGGAGAAAATAAGACAAAATTTCACATTTCAAGGACTTATTATGTTTTGAACATTTGTATCTGTTGACCTTTAAAATAATCCAGTTTAAAACTCATTGGAGTTTTTTGGCAGGATTTTTAAGCAGTGGCATTTGCTTATTACAAACACTTCTGATCGTCGGGCCTGGAGGGTTGACAGGGAATGAAAGAACACATCTAGTATTCTTAGAGTAGATTTACTGGCAACATTTGGCCCTGTACACTTTTTCTTTTTTATAATTTATCACAATAGAGAATGATTTTGTAAATGACAATGGCAGGATGGATTTCAAAAGTTCTAACCCCTTACACACTGGTAATCAAAAGATGTAGGTAGAAAAATCGTACCATCAGAAGTAAAATTTTCCCCACAGTGAGACTGTACCTTAACATCCTGAATGCTGTCATTTTTGTATTGCCCTATGAGTCGATCCGCTCATCTTTTCCCCATTCAAGAGGTGAGTTTGTTCATCTCTGTGGCCTCTGTTTGGGCATACTATTCACCTGGAGTGCAGTGTGTTTATATAGACAGGTGCCTGCAAAGCACAAAGAAGAGTCTCCGTTTTTGGACTTTGTTATCGAAGTCAACAGGTCCTGAGTTTACTCTCTGTAGAGTTTACCATCTACATTGTCAGAAAAATTCCATGGGGAACTAAGCCCATGAGCACATCAGAGAGGAAGTTAGGAAGGTGTGGAGGATAGTGGGGCTTCTAATAAGGGAAAGGTTTTTTGGCATAAGAAAGGAATTACACGTTTAATGAACACTATGAGCTAAATTCCTGTCCTTCAGATTGTCTCTAACTGGAAAACCAAGAAACATTACTATGCTAGAACTGTTTTTTTATCACAGAGAAAACACATAGAGTAGGCTTCGAAATAAATTCAGGATTATTTCCAACTTGAAGGGTTTCTCCAATTATTCCAAATTTTAGGTGTCATAGGACCAGAGGTCAAGGAGATAGGCATGTTAGATATCAGCTTTTTTCTACTTTTATTCACTTAGAGCCCCAGAGGCAGAAGGGAAACTACGAGAAGTTTCATTCATGATTTTTATTTATTGAAAAGTAAAGCTTATGCTTTTATGTCTGATCCCACACAAATTGCCTCCTACATATCATTTCTAATCATCTAAAACCAAGGAAGATCATGGATCAACCACTTTGGTTTTACAGGTGAGGAAACTGAGACAGGGGCTTCCTTCTAGTTGTGACTTACTGATCGAGGTGAGATTGGTACCTAAATCCTGAACCTAAAGTTGACCCACAACCCCTCTGATTTCCTTCCACCTCCAGCCAGGATTTCTTTCTGGCCCATTGTATTCATCTCACATCCCACAGACCCATCTGGCCTATCGATAAAAGGAAAGCTAGAATTCAACAGAAGACCCCTCTCCCCATTTGAGGTCCAATGGACCATTCCAGTGCGCCATGAATTTTTAACATCTGCCCAGATTTTCAAGGTAAACACATCCCTTTCTCTCCTTCTGTGTAACTGTGTTGTCTGTCTTTCCCGAAGGATTCTAAACAAGATGAAGATTGAAGGCAAAGTCTTTGTGTTTCCAAGCTCCTGGTTCATACTGGAACTCAGTAATATGTGTGGAATATACACATGAAAACTAAAAATGAAGTATGTGTAGAGAAAGAGTGGATTCATTGAGGAAATGTTGACAAAAAGACAAGGGGAGTTTTGGTGGGGGTAAGACATATTGAGCTTAAGATTTAGGAATGTAAAGAAGAGGGAGCTTCTTATAATGGCTCACTGTTGTCTTTAGGGCATCATGAGGTGAAAGGCACTGCATATATGACCCACAACATAAAACCAGAGCCAGGGAGGTACTCACAGTGGTGCACACCTTTAATCCCAGCTACTTGGGAGGCTCAGGTGGAAAGACGGCTTGAGCTCAGAGGTTTGAGACTAGCCTGAGCAACATAGTGAGACACTATCTCTCCTCTTCTCTTTTCCTCTCCTCTCCTCTTCTCTCTCTTTGGGGTTCACCAGCCCTCCCTCCCATCTTCTACACCCTTGCAGATAACACAAAGATTGAACAACTCTGCCACATCTTCCTGGTGTCCTTGAGAGAGTTGGGATTGTCAGCAAACTCTGATTCTGCCAATAACACCCTGTCCATTGTCTCTGTAAGGCTGCTAATGGGTTCCAGACAGGACTTGAATCTGCAAAAATAAATTCCTTCATGTTACTCCTTACAAAGACCTGCCCCGTGTTCTGCGGAGTGGAAGAAAAGTGCTGAGTCCCATGTTCACTCCCAACCCTTCTTGTTTTATTACCAGCACTCCTCCCCTTTAGCTGGAAAGCTATTTAGCCTGTGGGTGAGAGGAAAAGGTTGGGAAATGGGTTAAGGAAGTGTGGATGTGCTAGCAGTTCACCTTCAGGTGTGTGTGTGTGTGTGTCTGTGTGTGTGCATGTTACGACTAAGAAATGGCCCACCACAATTTGAGAATGCGAGTTAAGAATTTGGTATTTTTGTCCTCCATCCTGACCTGAGAATTGCCCCTTCTCCAAGCCCAAAGAAATTAATCATAGAAGAAAGCATATGGTGACCAATAATTTGAATTATTATTGTGCCCAATCTGAATGGCCTCCCTGAAAGTCAGCTCTGGAAATTCCTACTTAGTATATCCATGTTCTCTCCTTTTCCTGATCCACATGCTTCTCTCCAAATTTTATTTCCCAGGTCATGGGCTTATTCTGCCTCATGAATGTGGATTAGCTGGTTCCAAACAGGAAAAATGAATGGGAAATTCCACCTACAGCTACTAGCGTGTGCCTGCTCAGTTCCCGAGTCAAACTGGCTAACATACATTTATAAAGGGAGAGACATGGGGACAGAGAATTAGGAGACAGGCAATGGAGAGAATCAGAAGGTTTTGAAATAAGGCTAATATATGGTAAAAGATAATGTTAAATAGATTGAATGGGATCAAATTATGGATGACTTTGAAGAACCATGTTTTATTTTTGAGACATAATATAGCAGGCAATGGAACCTATGGTAGGTTTGCAGAAGAGAAGTGATGTGATGAAAATGAATTTTTAGGGCTCTCAGTTCAAAGTTCAATTGGAAGGGAAATGCCCAGAGACGTCAACTTTCCAGGTGATTTTATCTGTTGCTGTTTGTCATTGGTCAAAATACTGCTTCATGACTTGAAGCACACTTCAGCAAATCTTTATACCAGAAACCTGAACAAAAGTTTCCTAATTCGCCCATTGTGGGTAATAATTTATAATAGATAGGTAGAAAATAATGTTAACAATCTGTCTTCATAGGAAAGACTAAGCTAATATATAAAACTAACCATGGTTTGATTTTTTTTCTCCCAGGCTGGAGTGCAGTGGCATGATCATGGCTCATTGCAGCCTCAACCTCCCAGGCTCAAGGAATCCTCCCATCTTAGCCTCCTAAGTAACTGGGACTACAGGCACATGCCACTGCGCTCAGCTAGTTTTTGTTTTTGTTTTACGTAGAGATGAGGTCTCACTGTGTTTCCCAGATGGATCTTGAATTCCTGTCGTCAAGTGATCCTCCCACCTTGGCCTCCCAAAGTGCTGGGAGGCTCACGCCACCACACCAGGCCTGGTTAATATTACCCTTATTTATGGGATGGTTATCCTCCTAAATTAATGAGAGGTCATTTTCATTTCGTATTTCCTATGCCAACTCACAAACATATTTGTAGCTTCACCCATCCTGGAAACATGACTCCCATTACAACAAAAAAGCTGTTTCTCCTTTTATTTAAGATCAATCCATCTGAATATAGTGAAAGAGACTGTTGACCCGACATAGACAATCTGCAATGTTGAAAGCCCATTTGAAGTCATTATCAAAAATGGATTATGAAACCAACAAATCTTGTTGTATGACATTCTCCAAAAGTGCTCTCCTATTCAGATGCAAGTGCAGGAAAACATGCATACAGGGTTAATATTCAGTTGAGTTTTGCCAGAGAGGTGAACCAAAATGTTAGATGTGGGTGGGGATTAAATGTATTGAATGTGGCAGAGAGAGAAGATTGGAAGAAAATAGACAATATGTGGATTGAAGGTTCAGATGAGGTCAAAGAATTATCGGAGTAAGGAAAGCTGAATAAGTTCACTGGAGCGAGTAGAGGCTGTGATGATAGGGTAGGATATGTGAATTAATGAGCTGGTAGGTGAAAATGTTTTTTCTCCTACTTAAGATGAGTGGCTTGTGTATGGGAGCCACTGGCTCAGGTACAGAGGAGGAGATGGTGACAGGAGAAGATGAAGAGGTCCCAAATGAAGAGGCCATGCCATTAGCTGTTCCATCCATGTGAATACCAGAGCCAGTCGGGATGATAGCAGTGATTGAGATGGAAAGAAGGCCTGTCATACAGATGCCAATGTTTTAAATAAGTAAGGGAAACTGAACTACAAGCATCATTTAAATATCCCAAAGCTTGCCTTTGAGTCTACTTTCTTTGAAGTTCCCGGGATTCCAAAAGAATATTTTATTTATTATGATTTATTTATTTAATTTATTTAATTAAACTGAGACCATTTTAATTCTTAATTTAGTAAATGCCAAGTTTTCATAAGTGCTATACTATTTAGTCTAGATACATCTACGCTCTAGAAGAGACTACCAAGATGGAAATTAGAAAATTTCTTTTTCAAGACAAGTTCTATCTACAGAATGGCCAATATTCTAAATAAGACCACCCGTTATTAATCTTAAAACAAACACTCTCTTCTAACACATCAATCACTTTACCACCCTCACATCCAAAGGTGCTGGAGGCATTGTTTTCTTAGCAAAGGCTTTCTACCTAAAAACCTAACTATGGAGGAAACAAACTCAAGAGATATCTACAAATCCTGAGTAAAGCAGTATTGATATAAATGTGGGATGGAATTAATGCAATCCCTGCCTTAGGGATTAAATGGGAGAGTGTAAAAGAGAGGAAATCCAAAATGTTTAAATTCTGAGGTGTTGGCCATCAATTATGAATGGGTTCTTATGATTAAGTAAAACAATGTTGATCCTAATGCTAAGAATATCGGGTAAGTTCTTCGTACATCTAGTTCTAATCTAACTCTGTCTAATTTAGAATCACAAATAAATTCTCTCAAATATATTTGAGGTTATCATAAAACCCGCAGAACTCATTTGCAGCTCATGGCTGAACTAGAGAAAGATGATATTTTCAATTTTGGATAATTTTACAAGAAGCAGAGCAGAGGAAAGATTCTTTTGGAAATATTCACTCCTAATTACTGTTATCTGACCAAACAAAACTTAATACAGACCAAATGACACAAAATGTAAATGACTAGGACTCCAGTCCTGGGCTCTAAAGCAGCAAAGCCGTTGGCTTCCTAGTAAGGAGCTGATAAATGTGTGTGCCAAACCTAAACTGTCATCATCTTTTCCTATTCACCAGATACTGATGAGTGTATATCTCTGGTGTCCCTTATTCCTGTCTTTAAAAAAAATGCTTCCTTAAAATATTCAAAGTGTGTAATTTACTTTCTAAAATTATAATGGCATTCTAATTTGGTACAAATTTTTCTAGGGTTCTTACATTATAAAAATTGAGAAAATGAGACATAGTTATTTCAACAAAACTGACTGAATACTGCCAAGTGGTTTCAAACCTTGCTGGACGAAAAGGCCCTAGAACTAGTTACGGCTTGAAGTAAGAGATCAAAATATCAAAGTAAATGAAAGACTTCTCCAAACAGTTATCAAATGCTTCTTAAGAATAGATAATGACACCTTTCATGTCTTTATATTTAAGTAGAGGGAAAGATAAAATAAAAACACCTAGCATTTAACAGAAAGTAAATACATATGCAATTAAAGAAGTCATTAGTACTAGAATGGTAAAGTGTCGTTACGGAAAATATGACATACTTCTAAAATTGAGAGAGAATAAAGATTTGGAAAGAAAAATAAATTTTACAATTCTGCATCATGCCTCTGTTAGCTGAATTTTTTGCTTTTTTTAGTTGATCTTTCTCCTTCTGGGCAGATAGAAGCTTACATCATACATCCATATATAAACATGCAAATTCAGACACAAGACATTTGGCTAGGTAAGTTACAGTATGCTGTATTTAATTAATTTATTTTGGAAGGTTCCCAAATAATGCAAAGTAAAGAAAGAGACTGTTGGAATGATTATTTTGTGAAAAATCAATTTATATTTTTAATCCACGTTTTAATTTTAATTCTGCCACAATCACAAGGAAAAAAATATTTGAAAATGTCTTTGAGGCTGGACGCAGTGGCTCATGCCTGTAATCCCAATACTTTGGGAGGCGGAGGTGGGCAGATCACTTGAGGCCAGGAGTTCAAGACCAACCTGGCCAATATGGCAAAACCTTGTCTCTATTAAAAATACAGAAGTTAGCCAGGCTAATGGTTGCACATGCCTGTAATCCCAGCTACTCAGGAGGCTGAGGCACAAGAATGGCTTGAAATGGGGAGGTGGAGGGCGCAGTGAGCCAAGATCGCGCCACTGCACTCCAGCCTGGGCAACAGAGCTAGACTCTGTCTCAAAAAAAAAAAAAAAGAAAAAGAAAAAGAAAAGAAAAGGAAAGGAAACGAAAGAAAATGTCTTTGAATCTTTAACTACAAAGTGAAGTTTTGCTAAGGTTATCATTTTCATATAACTAAAGAAGATAAATACCAGAGTGAAATAACTTTGAAAAACTATTATTCAGTCTGGGATTTGACTTCATCCAACTTAAAAACTAATAAATCTACTAAATAGAATGTAACTGTTTCATGGATGCAAACAGAAGACACAAGACCCCAGGATCAGAGACCAAGGTCTTATTTGCTCATGGCAAATAACCCCAACTACAGCAAGCAAAATGAGCATTATAACATTTGTGTCAGTTCTCCTTACCCACATGTCCCATAGAAGTGATGGTGTATGACCCACGTGGATGCTACAAACACAGTGAATTTGCACTGTAGTTGAGGAACACTGAGTTTAGGATCCCCACTGCTATTAAAGCAAGCACTAAGCAAACACATTCTTTGTCTAGAAGAAGAAACTACCTCATCTCTCAAATGTATCCACTGCATAAATAACTCTGAGAAGTGGCTCAGGTAAAAGGATGTTCAGAGATTTGCAGTTTTGACACACCCAGCAAGACATGTGGAAGTACTGTATCTCCAAATGGTCATATGATTTGGTTATTGATCTCAGCTTTCATTTTCTTCTTACAGAAGTTCCTCAGGGACGATCCAGTGGTTCGCCTATACCAAATGTATTGAAACAGAATGTACAAGCTGACAAAAAAATGAATAAATGCATAAGAGATATACATGGATAAACTTTGTTTCTCTCTTATTTTCTTATGATAAATTTTGAAGTCAGTAACTTAGCCTTATTTAAAACTAGTGATAAATCACGTATATTTGGGAATTGTAAAATTTGTCATTTATGAGATCTAGTGAGGTGAACTACTTCTTTCAAATGCTATATACTAACTGGATTCTATGGGAGGATGAATGCCTTAATCAGAACAATATATTCAATTATTTAGGTAACCTAGCATATAACTTTACAGTTTTTCTTTAAAAAATGTTTCCTTAAAATTATCTAAGTCTATAATTTACTTCCTAAAATTGTAAAGGCAATTTTAAATATAATAAAATGTAAGATGATGCTATTTCAGGGGACTTTCAGTTTTGGAGAAGATGGAGGAAAACACAAGGGAATTATTCTCCTTGAAAAAAATACAAAAATATATGGAACAACGTTGGCAAGACACAGTACATTAGGCAATGAAGGACAATGATCCTTGAAAGAGGTGAACCCTATGACTGTCCCAGTGTACTGCCATGAAATAGTTTCCAGGCTATGTGCAGAGAGCAGAAACCCAAGTAGAGCCTAGTAGACTCTTTGAGTTGAGGATTTGGAGATGAGAGTCCAGGAAAACCAAAATAGCAAAAGGTCTTGGGACAGAGTGCCAAAGAAAAGAAAGCTGCATGAAGAGAGAATTCCAGTGATCTGCTAAGGTCTTCCTTGAGTATTCGGCTGAGTACTGATGAGCAAAACACACAAAAGGAAGCACATGAGGCTAGGAAAAGAAATACACAGGGCCTAAGAACAGTGCTTATTTCCATCAGTCAGGCCTCAATAATAATGTGACGTTGGGTAGAATATACACAGAAAGGCCTTGCTCACTGTGGGGGAATATTTAGACTTAATTGCTGTGCAGTTCTCTATGCACTGATCCAGTCCTATTGAAGAAACTGCAAAAGTGATATCTAAAAGGATCTATATCCATAACAAAACTACCCTTCATCCAATTAGGTAAAATTCACAATATCTGGCATCTAATAAAAAAAACTACCAGGCACATAAAGAAGCAGTAAAAAAAACAATCCAAAATGAGGATAAAAATTCATCTAAAGTGACCCAGAACTGACACAGAATTTAGAATGACTAGATATGGGCATTAAAATGGTATATTTGTATTTGGTATATCCAAAAGGCAAATTACAGACACAGAAGATATAAAAACAACAGCCAGTGGAATTTCTAGAGATGAAAACTGCAATGTATGAGAAAGAACATACATGAACAGAATTAACAGAAGATTACACAGAAGAAATTAACAGTGAACTTTGAGAGACAGTAATAGATGCTATGTAAAATGAAGCACAGAGAGAAAGAATTTTTTAAAGGGAATAGATAAACAGTAAGCTATTGTTCAACATAGCCCAATATACATGTAACTGGCATCCTCAAAGAGGTTGGAGAGTCAGAAAAAAATATTTAAAGAAATTATGCCCAAAATTTTTTCAAATTTGTAAACCCACAAGTCCAAGAATCTCAATGAACCCCAACTACAAGCAACATGAGGGAAACTGCACACATGTGCATCAAGACCAAATTGCTCAAATCAAGAGATACAGAGAAAAATCTTAAAATCAAACAGAACAAGCGGTATGTTATGTATGGAGGAACAAAGATAAGAACAACATGAGATTTCCCCAGTAAGAAACAATGCACAAGAGAAGACAACTGAGAAATATCTTTGAAGTACTAAAGACAATTGAAATTTCAATTCATAATTCTATATTCAGTGAAAATACTTTTCAAAAACCATGGCAAAATGAAACATTTTTTAGACATACAAAAACCAAAATTATTCAGGACTAGCAATCTGACCCACAATAAATGTTAAGGGAAAGGAGAAAAAAAATTATACAAAAAAAAATTATTGACCTACACAAAATAATGAAGAGTACTAGAAATTGAAGTTATGTGGATAAGAAAAATCTTACTATTTATATCTCTTGTTATGCAAGTCTCTTTAAAAGATAACTAACATTAACAAAAATGATAAAATGTAGTGTGGGGTTTCTAACATATAAAAATAAGCTGTATAACAACAATAGGGTAAAGTTCAGGATGGGAGAAATGGGTGTTTACCATTGTGTACGACATGTGAAATGGTATAATATCACTTGAAGGTAGACTGTAGTAAGTTAAAGACGTATAACTTAAACCCCAAAGTAAACACCAGGATAACAGAACAGTGAATTATACATGATAAATCAACAAAGGAGATGGAATTATAAAAAATATTCACTTAATTCAAAATAAGGAAGAAAAAGAGGAACAAAGGACAAAGAACAAATGGACAAATAGAAACAAATAGCAAGAATATACACTTAACCCTAACCATATTAATAATAATATTAAGTATAAATGGTCCAAATAGTGTAAGTAAAAGGTGAAGATTGTCAGATCAGACAAAAATGCAAGATCCAACTCTACAGTGCCTGTAAAAAACATACTTCAAAAATGAACACACAAATAGAAAGAAACTGCCTCATTCTGACAAAGGACATACATGAAAATAACTACAACTGACATCCTTGACAGTGAAAAACTGAATGATTTCCCCATGAGGTCAGGAACAAGAAAAGGAGGCCCAGCCTTATCATTTCAGTTAAACATTGTACGAGAATTTCTAGCCACAATGGGAGGGTTATAAAAGGTATTTGGATTAAAACAATAAAGTAAAATTGTTTTATTTACAGATGGCATCATCATCTATGTAGAAAATCTAATGGAAGCTTCAAAAAAGATATGAGAACACTAACAAATTTGCAGGATACAAGATCACTTTGAAAATCAATTTATTTCTATTTACCAACATAAAACAAGCAGAAATTGACATTTGAACACATTATTTACAATAGCAACAAAAATATGAAATAGAGATAAATCTGATAACCATTTGAAAAATCGATACACTAAAAACTATAAAACATTAGTGACAGAAATTCTAAATAAATTGAGACATGTTGTGTTCATGGCTCACAAGACTCGCTATTGGTAAGATGTCAATTTTTTCTTTTTTTTGTTTAAGACAGAGTCTCACTCTGTCACCCAAGCTGGAGTGCAATAGCACAATCTCGGCTCACTGCAACCTCCACCTCCAGGGTTCAAGCAATTCACCTGCGTCAGCCTCCCAAGTAGCTGGGATTACAGGCATGTGCCACCACACCTGGCTAAGTTTTTTCTGTTTTCAGTAGAGACGGAGTTTCACCATATGGGCCAGGCTGGTCTCAAACTCCTGACCTTGAAATCCGCCCACCTTGGCCTCCCAAAGTACTGGGATTACAGGTGTGAGACACCATGCCCGGCCAGTCTTTTCAAACTAATCTCAAGATTCAAGTTAATTCCAATCAAGATCCTAGCCTGTGTTTTTAAAGAAACAAGTAAGTCTAATTTCTATTTTTGAAGAAATTTCATTAGTCAATCAGATTATGTTAGTACTCCAATTTTAATTTTATTCTTCAAAGTTGTTTTGACTGTTCTGGGTTCTGTACATTTCCATACGAAATTCATATGATCTGATTCAAAGATTTACTATAAACTATAGTATTCAAGACAGTTTAGTATTGGCATAAAGATAACAAACTAAGTAATAGAACATAATAAAATTCAGAAATAGACATACACATATAAGAACAACAGATTTCATCAATGATGCAAAAGCAATTCTGTGGAGAATGCACAGTCTTTTCAACAAATTGTGCTAGAACAACTGGATATCCATATGAAAAAAACGGAACTCAATTCATACCTCCCACAAAAATTAACTCAAACTAAGGTTTAATGATCACGACTGCCTCAGGGATAGTGAAGGCATGGAAGAGGAGTGAAGTGAGAGGGAGGAACTAATTACAAAGGAGCTCTAGGAAACTTCTACAAATACATGCATTAACTTCAATATAAGTGAGGTTGCATTAATATTTACATGTCAAAAACATACCATATTGTACCCTTTAAATATGTGTGTTTATACACTTTACATTTTGATAAAACTGTTTAAAAATAGATATTTGGGGCCAGGCACAGTGGCTCATCCCTGTAATCCCAGCACTTTGGGAGCCCAGGGGACACAGACTGCTTGAGCCCAGGAGTTCAAGACCAGCCTGGGCAACATGACAAAACCCCATTTCTACAATAAATGAAAATGCAATAATTAGACAGGTATGGTGGTGCATGCCTGTAGTCCCAGCTACTCAGGAGGCTGAGGCAGGAGGATAGCTTGAGCCTGGGAGGTTGAGCCTGCTGTGTGTTGTGATTCCACCACTGCACTCTAGCCTGGGCGACAAGAGTGAGATACCGTCTCAATAAAAAAAAAATTAAAAATAAATAAAAATAGAGATTTTGCAAAAAGGCAAGCATACTATTAAAATGATGCTACCTCTTATTAAAAGTAGATATCTTTAAATGTAAAGAAGACAATAAAAATGATGCTTGTATGGAAACTTTACTTGGTTATCAAACTCCAAGGATTCTGTTTTCAACATACTAAGAATGAATTAATTATACTGATAAAAAAATTTTACTTTATGTTCTAATACTTCTCAGTATTAATGGTTTAAGTAGCCAAAGGTATAAATAATTAAGAGACCTTATTTAAAGGTGCCTCTTTTTATCCAACAGTGCATTTTAAGTAAATTTAGATAATGTAAAAAGTGGTAATACGAAGAAATTAAAAGTTCGGTCTACATGGTTAAATTGAAGATGCCAAATATGAACCTGAACCTCCTCCAGTATTATTAATCCATTCCATCACCCCCTAAACTTTTTTTTCCTTTCTGCCCCTGCCCATTTTATATATTTTTTTTACTTCTGTTCTTTCACCCATCCTCTTCCATTTTCTTCTGTATTGTTTCTTTTCTCATCTCTCTTTGCCTCCATATTTTACTCGTTGTCGCTCCCTCTGTTTAATTCTTCTATCAGAAAAAAAATAATTAAATTCAATAGGAGTTGGGTTTTTTCCAGAAAGAGAAATATTAAAAGTTTGGTTCATCTTTCAAACTAAAAAAAAAAAAAAAGCATAAAATTCTAAACCTAGCAATGATAAAATATAGATTTCAACAGGGATAGAAGAAGCAAAAACATTCAGACAGAGATCAAGAGACCTATAAAGAGAAAAAATTAAGAAGAACAGCAGGCAAGAAGGACAGAAAGGAGGGAGAGAGGAATGGAAAGGGAGGGATCAGGAGATCAGGAGGGAGAAGGGAGAAGAAGGGGGAAGAGAAAGAGGAAAGAGGGAGAGAAGACAGGTAAAGATCATGGAGAAAACTCAGTAGGTTTAGTTACTAATGTC
The DNA here is from genome assembly GCF_000001405.40 of Homo sapiens. Taxonomy (NCBI): domain Eukaryota; kingdom Metazoa; phylum Chordata; class Mammalia; order Primates; family Hominidae; genus Homo; species Homo sapiens. The sequence goes on from NC_000008.11 coordinate 16,856,365, forward strand.
AATGTCTGATTGCTGAGATACCCTTTGCAAATTAACTTAGCTGTCCCATTCAGAACTTCCCTTTCTAATGGTTGTGGCAAAGTCCTCTAGAAGTTACTAGGCTGCCCTGCCTTTGTACTTTGAAAGATTATAGTTGTCTCATTTTACAGCATGTCAAAACAAAGTTTGGTATTAATATTGATTTATTTTTCTGAGTCATTTTTGCAATGATCCAGATTGTGCTTTTTCTGATTTTGTTTGTTATTGAGGGAGGAGCGTTTATTTCATCTAATGTGTATCTTTAAAAGTTTTCACTCATACACAAAAGCACAAATCATTGCAGTTCTTTGCATACTTTTAAAATAAATTTCAGAAGCTCTTTTTCCAAATGGAACAAACCACCTGGGATTGAAAGGAGACCATGATCCTTGGGTTGGAAAACACTTAATCTTGATGTCATATGTAGTGAAAATAAGCTCAAAGCAAACGTTGATCTCCTTGGCAAAAATTCCCCCATGTCCTGTGATCCATAGGTCTCAACTTGGTGACAATCATGACAATGCAGTGGGGGAAGAGCAGGACAGAATGGAGGAAATGTGGTAATAATATAATTCATCTCCTCCTTAACCTGTGATGGAGTTCCTGCCCTTGGTGAAAATTTCTTTGACAATAGTATCATCATCAAAACCAAGCGCAAAAAGAGAGCATGAAGCTCAAGAAAAATACTGCATTAAACAACATTTTCTTACCCAAGAATGAACCCCCCACAAGTCAGAAGTACGAGAATTTTGTTAGCAATTTACATTATCTGCAAAACCAGACGCAAAGTAACCATCAGTACCATTATCCGAAGGTAATAGTTCTAGATCATTTGCAGGTGGGGCATTAAGTCTATGGATTATAAGATTGTAATATTAGACTGGTATTAAATCATCTCTGCACAGTTGAAATGATAGTTATTACTAGGACAGCTGAAAAGAGAAAACAGTTTAGTAGGTTTTGAAGGGCAGATAATTGACTAGAAAAAGGATAAGGCATCTAAGGATAAGCTTAAAATAATGCAATTGAAACACACCTGACCAGCAGTCTACCACTATTTAGACACAAAATCTACATTTACATTGCCTGAAGCTATCCAAGAATAACTAAATCCTTAATTAGTGGGATATTGGCCATAGAGGCCTAATACATTTTTGCATTTGCCATTCAACCACCTTAACATTAAAGTAGGTATCTTCCAAAAGGTCTTACACAATTTTTCAAAAGTCATATGTAATTGGTATTTTTTGCTTACATGAAACCATGGATGTTACATTGCAACTTACGAGAAGCATTTACAAAAAAAAAAATGAATGAAGAATCTTCTAGTTAACAGAGTTTTTCCAGTCCTCACCCTATAAGCCAGAAGTAACCTTGATGCAGGGCAGGTGAGCTTCAAAGTGGGGCCTAGCCTGCAAGGCTTCTTGGCTTTGCCCAGTGAAGAATTCAAGGGTGAGCCAGTGGTAGGGTAGAAGAAAACAGCTTTATTGAAGTGGCAGAGTCCAGCGGTGTTACGGCTCCGTGACTGCTCTTGCTGAGCAAGGCTACCCCATAGGCAGGGTGCTGACTACTGTAGCAGCTCAGGGCAGCTTTGCAGTCATATTTATACCTACTTTTAATTACATGTAGATTAAGGGGAAGTTTATGCAGAAATTTGGGTTGTCAGGTCATTGCCATGGAAACGGGTTGTAATGCCTGGGTGTTGCCATGGCAATGGTAAACTGACATGGCACACTGGTGGTTGTGTCTTATAGAAAGCTGCTTCTGTCTCATCTTTCTTAGTCCTCAATTTGATCCAGTGTCTGAGCCCTGCCTTCAGAGTCAAGTCCCAACTCCTACCTCAATCTGACAGATGCCATCAGGATTGCAATCCCCAAAAAATAGAATCCTATGCTTGGTCAAATGAAGATGTGTTCGGCAGTATCTTGCTAAATTGCAATGTCATGAGAACTTCACTTTCTGTAATGGCCAGTTTTTATTGAATAGTGACTTTTTCCACATTTTAGTATGATTTTTTGATGTCTATTTGTGAAGGAATAAAAGTCCCTATGATGCCCCACTAATTTGCTGGCATCCTTATGACACCAATATTGCATTTCATAATGTCAGTCCTCAAGAGTTTCTGAATTGTCTTCTTCCTTCCCTCTTGACTTTTCTAATGCATAATTCTGGTTCTCATATTTTTATAACCACTCCTGCACATCTTTCACTAGTTTCTTTTTCTTTTCCTGTGGACAGCTCAAGACTACAGCACAATGTCTCATATGGTCAGCAGCTAAGAAACTAAGATGGAAGAAAAATATGAAAGGTAATAGATCAAGTCATTAGTCCATAACTAATGGAAATCAAGGAGTTGTAGATTATGGAGGTCAGAATAAGAGCCATGATCCTCAACTTGAGAGTTTAGCAAGACTTGAAAAAGGAAGGCAAAACAGGTAGTCAAAATAACAAAGAGATAGAAATGATGTTATAAAAGTGAAGTTATTTGAATAGGTAATGAATGTAGATTGAGGAGCAAAGGACTTTTCTGACAAATTCAAAGCCCTCTGTTCTCCTTATCTTATAGTCTCTTCTTTAATGAGCTCATCTATTTCCACAGTTTCAATCCTTATCTCTAATCTATTTATAGTTACAGTTCTAGCCACTCACTTAAACTTAGTTCTTTATCTCCATTATCACACATTTCAACTGAATATGTTTGAATCTAACTTCATCATCTTTCTTCCTAAATCAGTCTCTAATACACAATTCCCTATTTTCAGGTCAGTGATACTAGAATTTTTATAAGACACCTGTACTACATCCTCTACGTTTAATCTGTCATAAATTTTATCAATTTTTCTTTCAAAATAGTTCTCATGTCTGACTTGCTTTGTCCGTTTCCACGCCCATCACCGCAGGGAGGCCTTCATTTCCTTACTTCCAGACAACTACATGGCCTCCTATTTGATGTCTCCAGCTCTGTCTGGTTTCACTTCCCATTCAAATCTGCACATAGCACAAGACTGATCCTCAGAAAACATTACTTTAATTATCCTCATGACTTGCTTGTCCAAGAAAAGCCCAATCATACTCAAAGCCTTCATCTATAATTCAATACACTCCACAATTTGTGCAATTTTTATCTCTAGTATTCTACCACATTTTGTCTTTTCCAGGAAAGCCTTGCTGTCCCCACTTAAACAATAATTATTTCTACCTTTCTTATTTTGTCATGCTCCTACTTTAACCCAGATTCCTCTCTTTTTTTCCCTAACTTCCTCAAAGATATAAATCCTTCCAGTTTCAGCTCAAGACACATCTATTCTAGAAAGCCATCACGCCAATTAAGAATCATTAAAGGGGATTTAGGTTATCACATTCTCAGATATGCTCTGGGTTATCCTTAAGGTCAGTGTTTGAACAGCCAGTGAAGAATGTATAATATCACTTCTATCTCAAAATAATAGATGGTTAAAACCATGAAGTGTAGTTCTTCACCCAAATTAATCTGGAATGTACATTTTTACCATATTTTATAAGTTAAAAACAGTACTGAAATTTTAATCTTTAAAATTTACTTATTATTTTAAAATTAAAAATCAATTTTAACAAGATAAAACCATCATAAAACATCTCTTTTCTAAGTAGAGCTGAAGGAATACAACTGATTGTTTTTTATCTGAAAAAAAATGAATTGTAAGAATAGAAAGTAGAGGGGAAGCTAAGATTGAGAATAGAAAGTAGAGGGGAAGCTAAGAACTAAGAAATTTCTGGTTGTTAGCTTAAGAACTTGGACTTTATTCTCCTAGTCATAGGTATTGAAGGTGTTTGAACAAAAGACATGTTAAAAATTTTTTTAAGATTTTTATTTTCAAGAACAATGTGATCTAAAATAGATTAGAAAAAGAAAATTGTGTGTAGGCAGGGGATCCAGTTAAGAGGTTGTCACCACACTCAGGTGAGGAGTGACTGATGTGTGAAAAGGAAGTAGAAATAGTGTGAATGACAAGGGAGATAGAATCTTCAACAGTATCACATAGAAAACAAAGTAACAGATTCGATCAGCAGCTATGGGTGGAGTGATTCAAAGATAAGTAGGAAGGAAGGATTATGCTAAGATGTCAAAAAATGGTAGCAATATTGAGAGAATTTGGAACTTTCAAAAGAAATCTGGTTTGTGGAAAAGAATGATGACAATAATTTTTTAGCAAAACTGCATCTGAAGTGGGAATAATACATACACACTGTTCCATAAGCAGATAGAAATGGAAGCATGGGGTTTAAATAGGGGTCAGTGTTAGGTAGATTGGAAAGCATCTATATATCTGCCTCTGTATATATTTCATATTTAAAGAGCTGTCAGCTTCATCCCACATGTTCTCATTTATAAGTGGGAGTTGAACAATGAGAACACATGGACACAGGGAGGGGAACATCACACACCGGGGCCTTTTGGGGGGTGGGGAGTAAGGGGAGGGAGAGCATTAGGAAAAATACCTAATGCATGCAGGGCTTAAAACCTAGATGCTGGGTTGATGGGTGCAGCAAACCACCATGGCACGTGTATACCTACGTAACAAACCTGCACATTCTGCACATATATCCCAGAACTTAAAGTAAAATAAAACAAATTACAAAAAAATAAATAAATAAAGCGCTGCCAGTAGACACTAGGAGAGTAGGAGAAAGGAGGAATGGGGTACAAGTAAGTCCTGGAGAATTCTTTTATAGCAGTATCTTTGTTAAAATTGTCTTCATTACAATTGGATTTAACCTGATAATTTAAAATCACACATTTAAATGTGTACTTTTTAAAAAGCACTCTCTTACATATTTGGTGGAAAAGAAGTAATTCTGTTGAAATGCTTAAAAATGTTTCTTATTTCTATTGGTACTTATTTGCTTGCCTTGAGACTGCTGCAATAATGCTGTGTACCATAACAGTAGTCAGGAGTCCTGGCTTCATCGCCAATTCCATCACTCACCTGCTGATGCAAGCTCAGTATTTCTGGTCTCAAAGAACAGAAGCCAAGAAAGAAGCTAACTTTAAAGCCTCTCTTAAAGTCTCCTTCCTGAAATTATCTTTATTTTCACACCTTCAGAGCTTGTTTCAGGGAAGCGTTTACTCTGTGCATTAAGACCACAGAGCCCCACCGTCCTCCCTCTTATGGTTGAGTTGGTCCCCTCACCTGACAGTGGCAGGTTATCTTTCCTAAAAGCCTCTTATCACTTCTTCATTTGTTTTTTTAAATTAACCCAAATCTCTTTATCTGCTTTTCATTTCTTTGTTGAAACTCCTATAATGTCCTTTGAAAAAGGTAAGGACTAAGAGGACGTTGGTTTGCTCAAAGAGCTGACTTAGCTGTGCCAAGAAATCTGTTTAACTAACAGCATTTGGTCAAAGAGGGTATTTGTGTTATCTGCTTCAATCACATACAGAGCATCTTTATGTTGTCTTGCATATTGATTTCCTTAGGTTTTCTTTATCTATAAAAGTCTACAATAGTACTTATGAATTTCACTTCCATACCTGCTTAGAGAAATGTTATGGGAATTGACGGAAGCAAAAAATTAAATCCTTAAAGGAAAATTCTACAGAAATTTACAGGTATACGGTAATGACATTTGGGTCAAGGATGGACCACATATACAATAATGGACCCGTTAGATTATAACTGAGCCAAAAAATACCTATCAGCTAGTAACATAGGCATCAAATGTCACACTGCAACACATTACTCACATTTGTGGTGATAACGGTGCGAACCAGCCAATTGTGCTGCCAATTGTAAAAAAGTATAAGCACATGTATTGTATACAGTGCATAATACTTGATCATGATAACAAACCACTATGTTACTGGTTTATGTATTTACTATATTATGTCTTTTATCATTATTTTAGAATGTACCCCTTCTACTTATTTTTTTTTTTAAGCTAACTCTAAAACAGCCCCAGGCAGGTCCCTCAGGAACATTCCAGAAGAAGGCATTATTGGCTGGGTGAGGTGACTCATGCCTGTAATCCCAGCACTTTGGGATGCAGATGAGGGTGGATTGCCTGAGCTCAGGAGTTTGATACCAGCCTGGGCCACATGGTGAAACCCCATCTCTACAAAAAATACAAAAATTAGCCAGGCATGGTGGCTTGCACCTGTACTCCCAGCTACGTGGGGGGCTAAGACAGGCTAATCACTTGAGCCCAGGAGACAGAGGTTGCAGTGAGCTGAGACTGCACTACTGCACTCCAGCTTGGGCAACAGAGTAAGACTCTGTTTCAAAAAAAAAAAAAAGGAGAAGAAGGCATTGTTATCCCAGGAGATGACTGTTCCATGCTTATTGTCCCTGAAGATGTTCCAGCCAGACAAGATGTAGAGATTGAAGACAGTGATATTGACAATCTTGACCTTGTGTAGGTCTAAAGTAATGTGCATGTTTGTATTTTCATTTTTAATACTAAAATTTAAAAAGTGAAAACAAAATTAAAAATAGAAGAAGGCTTATAGAATTAGGATAAAAAGAAAGAAAATATATACAGCTATACAATGTATACTTTAAGCTAAATTATTATAATTATTATAATTAATTTAAAAGTCTATAAAGTAAAAAAGTTACATTAAGCTAAGGTTAATTATTGAAGAAACAGGCTGGGCACCATGGCTCACGCCTGTAATCCCAGCACTTTGGGAGGCCGAGGCAGGCGGATCACGAGGTCAGGAGATCAGGACCATCCTGGCCAGCATGGTGAAAGCCCATCTCTACTAAAAATACAAAAATCAAAAATTAGCTGGGCGTGGTGGCATGCACCTGTAATCCCAGCTACTCTGGAGACTGAGGCAGGAGAATCGCTTGAACCCAGGAGGTGGAGGTTGCAGTGAGCCGAGATCTTGCCACAACACTCCAGCCTGGTGACAGAGTGAGACTCTGTCTCAAAATCAAAACAACAACAACAACAAAATTATTGAAGAAACAATTTTTTTTTTTTTTTGAGACAGAGTCTTGCTCTGTCACCCATGCTGGAGTGCAGTGGCACGATCTGGGCTCACTGCAACCTCCGCCTCCTGGGTTCTAGCGATTCTCCTGCCTCAGCCTCCGAGTAGTTGGGATTACAGGCGTGCGCCACCATGCCCGGGTAATTTTTGTATTTTTAGTACAGACGGGGTTTCACCATGTTGGTCAGGCTGGTCTCAAACTCCTGACCTTGTGATCCACCTGCCTCATCCTCCCAAAGTGCTGCGATTACAGGCACAAAAAATTTTTTTTATAAATTCAGCGTACCCTAAGTGTACAGTGTTTTCAAAGTCTATAGTAGCGAACAGTAATGTCCTAGGCCTTCGAATTCACTCACCACTCACTCTCCCAGAGCAACACCCAGTCCTGCAAGCTCCATTCATGGTAAGTGCCCTATACAGGTATACCATCTTTTATCTTTTATACTATAATTTTACTGTACCTTTTCAGTATTCATATATGTTTAGATACACAAATATTTATCCTTGAGTTACAGTTGCCTACAGTATTCAGTAGAGTAACATGCCATATAGGTTTGTAGCCTAGGGGTGATGGGCTATGCCATGGAACCTAGCTGTATAGTAGGCTACACCTAGGTTTGCCCAAGTACGCTTTATGGTGCTTACAAGACAATGAAATCATTTGATATATTTCTCAGAACATATTCCTGTCATTAAGCAAGACATAACTGTATCTATGTATGTGTGGTATGTATGTGTATGTGTATTCATGTATGTATGGTATTTATATATAATATATAATGTATATACTACACGTATTGTAAGTGCATATATAATATATAATGTACATTTTGTATGTAATGTACACACAAGAATAATGTATACACACAAACTCTTTCTTAAAAATTTAAAACCCTTCTTGTTTGTTTGTTTTGTTTTGTTTTTTTGAGATGGAGTCTCTCTCTGTCGCCCAGGCTGGAGTGCACCGGCGCGATCTCAAGTCGCTGCAACCTCCGCCTCCCGGGTTCAAGTGATTCTCCTGCCTCAGCCTCCTGAGTAGCTGGGATTACAGGTCCGTGCCACCATACCCAGCTAATTTTTTTGTATTTTTAGTAGAGACGGGGTTTCACCATGTTAGCCAGGCTGGTCTCAAACTCCTGACCTCAAGCAATCCACCCACCATGGCCTCCCAAAGTGCTGAGATTACAGGCGTGAGCCACCATGCCCGGCCTGTTTTTAAATTCATAAAACATAAAGTATCCACTAAGTATGTTGGTAGGAGTTATAGACTTTTACAAACACATGCAGTCTAGTTTATACATGCATTCACATAAATGAAGAAATAGTATGACACAGAGCAAAGAATAAATGCCATGTTACCAGACTGTTTCCAGCTTCTGGCTGAAATATCCCCCTGAAACCTCTGCATTTAATTCCTCCTTTTAGAGCTCATACTTACTCTCCTCTGTTTTATCTGATGACATTACTGTTTCAAGAATCATTTTCTTGTTTTATTTTTTGTGCTCCTACTATTTTTGGAAAGTTCTTTCTATTGACACCCATGGATACTCATACATCACTTTAAATGCTGAGCCATTGCCAATGGATTGGAATAACTGATGGGAAATTTAAAGAGGTGCCCCTGTATTCTCTTAATTAGAGGGATCATAACATTTCTCACTAAAACTAGTACATCATAGACATTGGAAGGGGGCGCTATTAATGATTACTTCAGGGAAACAAAAATCTACCAAGAGTGGAGAGAGTCTTAGCAGGAACAGGAATGCCTTCAGGGTATAGGATTAAGTTTGCGGTAGATTCTTATTCAGTATATATTCCATTCTCCTCTTCACCCATGGGACTTGCTTTAGCCTAAGAGTGGACCAAAAGAATTCTGACTCCTTAATATCAAACATCTGACTCCTTAACTTTAGCCTCATGCTTGCTTTGGCGAATGAAATCATAGCAGCGGTGATGCGAAATGAGGTTGGAAACATGCCTTAGCTGTTGAACTTGCCCTCTCACACCTCTACCATCGGACAAGATGAGCTTCCCTTGGATAGTTCTTATTCCTTCAGCCTGGACTGTAGAATTAATACACCTGGAGTAAGCCTGAGCCCAGCCTACAGGAAGATACAAAGCCCAAGTGGACCCATGGCTTGCAGCAGAACCAGCCATGCCCAATTTAAATCAGCCAATTTGTATCCAAATCACATATAATAATAATTGCTGTTTTAAGCCACCAAATATTGGAGGACATTATTATACAGCTTTGTTACAGCAATTGCTACCTAATATACAGGATTTCCCTTTATTGCATATAGGATTCCTCGTACTATATGGTAGCCACTGTGCTAATCTCTGTACAGATACTGAAGAAAACCATATTCTTACCTTCGAGGAGCTTCTAGTTTGGGAAAAAATATAAAAGCACATTTAGAATTGACAAATATTGCAAAGCAGTATTTCTCTAAGTGCCAAAAAATATAGCATTTAAAGGTATAAAGAGCATCAACAACAACACAAACAAAAATCTTTGTCCTGCCTGAGCCATGCATTATGTTATCTTTTGGGGCTTCTCTTCTTTCAACTAAAAATTGAGTGATTTAAACTAGGTTAGCCATGTGATGACTTCTAGAAAAAAAAAATGTAAAATCCTGTGCTGACTCAGACAAGGTTGACCCCATGAAAGAAGAAGAATATCATAGAACAAAAATATAACACAATATAACACATAGTGCTTGGCCTTGAAAAATGGATTGAATTTAGATAGATTGGTGTATAAATATAAAATTATGTGACTAGAAGGTCAGAGAAGAAATCAAACATCTGTACCAATAGATAGTGTAATTATGTAAAGGAAAGCTCTATATCATCTTGTATGTAGCTCCTTGAGACATGCTACTGCCAAAAGGAACACTCCAGGTATGTTCCTATTTGATGAGACTTAAAATTTATTCCATCTTAAAGACTGCCCTTTCCCCTGACTACCTCTGCATTCTGAGATTATAAAGTGTGGAACCTCTTCTATTACATTTTTAGAAAATTACTCCAATCCTCGCCTTGTCCCTAAATAGGACTTAAAACTAGTTTTTGCCTCAGTGGCAAATCCATATAGCACAATCAAAAACTATGTCTCTACACATCAAAGAATATCCTATCAGTTTTGCAAAATTCAGTATGGCTTCCCACACAATCAGCTTCACTCTACAAATCACTGGAGATGGTGAAGATTTTACAAATCACTGGAGATGGTGAAGATTCTATAATAAAACCATGAACCAGAAATAAAATCAAAGAACAAGAGCTCTTTGCTCACTATGTGATGGCACAGCCTTAGAGTCCTAGAGCATCACTTAAAAATAAAAAATAAAAAAAAGCTTCGATTCAGCCACCTCGAAGAATAAGCACGTGTTTCTCATTATTATTTGCCTTTGCATTTCTTGTTGTTATTACTTGTCTTTGCCTTTGGAGATCAATTTAGGATAAAGCTGTTTTCAAAAGGTTACAAAGTGACCCAGGGATTTTCCTGGAAGTTTAATTCTGTATGCCACTGCTCCTCAGCTGCAGACTCTCCTTGGGAGAGTAGAATCTTTCCAAATGTCTAAACTTTGCAGTGTCAGTGGGATATGTAGAGACGTTATTTGACAGAGGCTTTGTGTATGCTCTTCAATGCAGGCCTATGAAAAATAAATAAGGGAACAGAATAGTAACAACTGCACAAATGTCATAACTAGAGCACAAAGGAATAATTCCTTGTTTCTCATGACTCTATCATTTAGTTTTCAAATTCTTAATTCATAATTTTAAAAGTACTATGCATTTTGATTTTTTCTTCTGTACCCAACCCTGTGCCATTTTCTAAACTCACTAGATAAAACTTTCTTTTGTAAATCTACTGAGAAAAACATTTTTTTTTAGGTTCTACCTGACATTGAATCTTCAAAGAAGATTCATCACAGTAACACTTAAAAAGTACACTCTTCAGGGAAAGGGGTGTGGGTGGATGTCTGTAAACACACCTTTATGCTCTTCTTTGAAATTATACCTGTAAGAGTTATTACACAGGAAATCCCCATGGATGACTAATACTTAAATTGAGTAAATATCTCACACACCGTAGGAATCCTAGAAGTAGCAACAGAGGAATCAGCCAGTTGACCTCTGCTACACTTCTGAGAAAGGCAACCAAAGACATTCATGTCTTTCAATCATCACCCATTGAAAAATGATAAGTAATTAATTGTCTTTTTGTTTAACATAATGAGAAAATAAGAACTATTACCGAGTTCTCGTTTCACATATAATGCCACGTACTGCAGATATGGAATGAGTGGAGGGAAAGAGGGCTCTGTTGATTAATTGCATTGCCATAGTCCAAAAACAGCCAAAATATTGGTCCAAATAATTGATACAAATGTCCACCTAGGTTAATAGTTCCTTTAGTTACATATCTTCATTTTGTGATTTTTTATAAGGAAACAAGTAATATAATTATTATTATTTCTTTAGTTCTAAGACCACAAGTAGGGATAGACCATGGAAGAGACAGAACAAGAAACTAGAAATGGAAAAAATAGAGAAATCTGCAAACATTAGAAGTCTGGACGGAGATGTGTTTGAGAAACCACTTAGATACCTACAAACCCAGGTGCCAGAAACAAAGGTTTCACAATACATCAGAAACTGCACTTGAAATCAGGTACCACACAGATAGGTCAGCTGCTGAGCAGTAAAGACACTTAGGTCAGTGCTTCTCAAATTTGAATGTGCACACATGATACCTGAGAATCTTATTAAAGCGCAGCTTCTGATTTAACAGTTCCAAGGTAAGAGCTGAAGTGATGCTCCTGCTGACAGTTATTTACTACAGTTGGAGTATCAGGAATTCAGTCTACATGGAAATGGGGATATCAGAAAGTCAGTGAGGAAGCCTAGAGGGCTTATGCCTCCGCTTGTGCGCCTGCTTCTTGCCAACACAGGTAGAAACCCCAGAGCATGGAGAGCCTGCATCCCACAGATGGAAGCAGGTGAGCCATGCGAGGGTAAGCAGAACAGATTTTGTAGGAACAAGCATAAAGGCAGATACCAATATTATCCAATACAAGAGTGAAATCAAACAATTGTATTTCATTGACTTCCACATTCTGATTTTAAAGGGACCCCATCTATTCAGTATATGTTTGATACATGTTGCAGAGAAAGCTTTGGGTAACTCACATTGACTTATTTAACTCAGGATAATTAAAGATATCTCCAAGTATGCAGCATGAGACAATTTAACATAGTGTCCAAGAGTCTAAAGTTGTTGAAGTCAGACCATCAGCACTTTAATTCTGATCTAATATTCATCAGCTATGTTACACAAATCAAGTTATTCAACCTCTCTGGGTCTCAGACTTCTCACCTGTAACATGAGAATAGGTGAGATTGGGGGGAGAGTAAGAATACCTATCTCATAAAATTATTGCGATGGCCAAATGACAATATGTAAAGGTCTTGGAAAAGTGCCTGCCACAGAGGAAATAAATGTGTGCTATCATAAGACTTTGCCATGGTATTTCTTCAACCACCTTTCCCCTAATGCCAACTTAAAGACTTTTAGGTCCGCCCATGTTAACTCTAAGCCAGATAAGTACTTATCAGCAACTTCTGACCTGGCTCTTGTGGGCTCCTCATACCCTTGGACACAGAAATAGAATTTCAAAGCACCTACTGACTTCATACAGCCCAAGGCTATTTTGTGGGGGGAAACCTATTCCTGCTCTCCAGCTGTGATCTCCTTTCACTATCTTCAATCCCAATTATCTCTCTTTTTCCTCAATTATTAACAAACTTTTCTAACTTCCTAGGTGGAGTGCCCTGTATTTGGAAATATATGAGCTAATATCATTTACGGTTTTATTGAAGTATAATTTAAGGAGAAATATTTAGAAATACACATTTCAGTTCACCTAATTAGTAGATTCCTCCTACTACCACTTCATTTAGCCAATCATGTGCCAATTCCAAATTCTAAAATTTCATCAAGTAACATTCCTCTTGAACTTGCCTCTTTCTCTCTTATTGGGTGTCACCTTCCTTCTAAACTCTATGTCTCTTACCTCAAGACTTGTAGGCTAATACAGTTATATTCTCCCCTTTCTAATCATCTCCTACTCCTGGCTCTCCTGTGGCCCACTGCTTTATTAATGTTTCTAAAATACTGATTCATATCAGGTTTCTACTCTTCTCCAAAATCTTGTCTTCCATATAAAACCTAAGCTCTTTGCCCAACATAGCGAATCTATTTTACCAATCTGTATCCTATCCATCTTTCAAGGCAATAAATTGTGCATCATTCAATTTATCTCTCATCCTTTCCTTAGGAGTCATTTTCCTTTCCTCTGTTACCTTTTTCATTTGACTCTCATGGCCATAAAGCATTCCCAAAGATATGCATGAAGTGAATTCCATGAATTTGACTGGCAGTTGATTGGGGTGCACACATTAAGAGAAGAAAAACAGAAAGGACTCAGAAATACATTTACCCATATCTTTTCCTCAACATTATAATTTCAGCTAAAGATTTACACAAAAGTGACATATACCAAAGTATGTCATGGCTTAAAACAAAGTTCTTGTATTGAATATGAGTTCTGTGATTGACATATTACCCATTGTTTGACCACAGGTCAACATATCTGAGCTGAACATGATCCCTACAACCTGCCTGAGATCACATTACCACGCCACACATGGGTACATAAAGCTGTCGGACTGTTATTTTAGAAGATGTGCAAGGAAGGACATGATGACACGGGTCAAATGTTGCCAGGAATATAGTTCTATGGCATAATATAGCTGTTTAATGGTCCATTGATAGTTCCTCAAGACACCTGAGGAGTTTAAAGCTTTACCCACCCAGGGTGTACAAAAAAGCAATAGTCAAACTGTAAAGCTTTACATAACCTGCTTTCAAAGTATTTTTTTAATATCAAAACCAATAAGACCTACTATTTGATAGTACAACAAGGTGATGATAGTCAGTAATAATTGTACATTTTGAAATAACTAAGAGTATAATCGCATTAAAATACAAAGAAATGCTTGAAGAGATGGATACCCCATTCTTCATGATGTGATAATTAAAATTGCATGCCTGTATCAAAATATCTCAGTACCCCATAAATATATACACCTACTATGTTCCCACAAAGCTTAAAACTTAAAAATAAAATAAAATATAAAAACTGAGCTTAATGATTATAGTTTTAAAGTCCAAATCCAGAGGAAAATGATAAAGATGGGAAAAGAGTAGCAAAACTATTTCTCTATCTCTTGTATTAATAAGGAAGCATGATTTACTGCTTATATGCTTCTCCTCCTTTTAAATCAGTGACATTGTTTCCACATTTGCTTTATATTGAATTGCCATGATAAAGAAGTATAAGACTATTTGGAAATGAATCACTCCCATATTACTTTTTAAAAAATTAGTAATCAAAAACATATTTCTTGGAAATAAGTATATATATATAGTTTATATATCTAGAGAGAGAGAGACATGGATACACACACACATATATTTATATGTATGTATTTGTGTATTTACGTGTGTGTATAACACATAAATTAGGCACTATGCATCTGCAACTCACAATTGAAATGGAGTTTAAATGGAGTTAAATTTAAATAGACATAGCCAGTTATCTCACACCGGCAAGAACAGTTTCTACATATGCTGTCAGGTTCTATAACTGTGTCTTCAATCTCAGCCCAAATTCACATAGAAAGGATGAGGCTAGGGAGAGAGGAAGGTGAGAAGAAGAAACAAGGAAGAGAAAATAATACTTAAAGATAACTCTTATACTTTAGGCAAAGGGTGCTACTTGAGTTTTCACATTTCATGATATAATCCGTTTCCAACTCACAAATTTAAACAAATGCCTTTGAACTCACATATTTTAATTTCTTTTTTTTTTAACTTAATTTTAAGTTCCAGAATACATGTGCAGGACGTGCAGGTTTGTTACATAGGTAAACGTGTGCCATGGTGGCTTGCTGCACCTACTAACCCATCACCTAGGTATTAAGCCCCACAGGCATTAACTATTTATCCTG
The DNA here is from genome assembly GCF_000001405.40 of Homo sapiens. Taxonomy (NCBI): domain Eukaryota; kingdom Metazoa; phylum Chordata; class Mammalia; order Primates; family Hominidae; genus Homo; species Homo sapiens. Next base: position 16,871,438 of record NC_000008.11, read on the forward strand.
ATGTTCTCCCTCCTCCTGCCCCATCCCCGAATGGCCCCAGTGTGTGTTATTCCCCTCCCTGTGTCTATGTGTTCTCATTGTTCAACTCCCACTTATAAGTAAGAACATGCACTGTTTGGTTTTCTGTTCTTGTGTTCGTTTGCTGAGGATAATGACTTCCAGATCTATCCATGTCCCTACAAATGATATGATCTCACTACTTTTTACAGCTGCATAGTATTCCATGGTATATATGTACCACATTTTCTTTATCCAGTCTATCACTGAAGAGCATTTGGGTTGATTCCATGTCTTTGCTATCATGAATAGAGCTGCAATGAATATACGTGTGGATGTATCTTTATAATAGAATGATTTATATTCCTTGGGGCATATACCCAGTAATGGGATTGCTGGACCAAATGTTATTTCTGGTTCCAGGTCTTTGAGGAATTGCCACACTTTCTTCCACAGTGGTTGAGCTAATTTACATTCCCGCCAACAGTGTAAAAGCATTCCTATTTCTCTAAAGCCTTGTCAGGATCTGTTGTTTCTTGACTTTTTAATAATTGCCATTCTGACTGGCTTGAGATGGCATCTCATTGTGGTTTTGATTTGCATTTCTCTAATGGTCAGGGATGTTGGGCTTTCTTTCATATATTTGTTGGTTGCATAAATGTCTTCTTTTGAGAAGTGTCTCTTCATGTCCTTCCCCACTTTTTAATGGGGTTGTTTCTATTTCTTGTAAATTTGGTTAAGTTCATTGTAGATTGAGGATATTAGATCTTTGTCACATGGGTAGTTTGCAAAAATTTTCTCCCATTCTATAGGTTGTCTGTTCACCCTGATGATAGTGTCTTTTGCTATGAAGAACGTCTTTAGTTTAATTAGATCCCATTTGTCACTTTTTGCTTTTCTTGCAATTGCTTTTGATGTTTTTGTCATGAAATCCTTGCCCGTGCCTATGTCTTGAATGGTATTGCCTAGATTTTCTTCTAGGGTGTTTATAGTTTTGGATTTTACATTTAAGGCTTTAAGCTATCTTGAGTTAATTTTTGTATAAGGTGCAAATAAGGGGTCCAGTTCAATTTTCTGCATATGGCTAGCCAGTTCTCCCAGCACCATTTATTAAACAGGGAATCCTTTCCCCATTGCTTGTTTTTGTCAGGTTTTTTGAAGATCAGATGGTTGTAGATGTGTGGTCTCATTACTGAGATCTCTATCCCATTCCATTGGTCTATGTGTCTGTTTTTGTACGCGTACTACGCTGTTTTGCTTACTATGGCCTTGTAGTATAGTTTGAAGTCAGGTAGTGTGGTGCCTCCAGCTTTGTTCTTTTTGCTTAGGATTGTCTTGGCTATATGGGCTCTTTTTTGGTTGCATATGAATTTTAAAGTCGTTTTTTTCTTATTCTGTGAAGAATGTCAATGATAGTTTAATGGGAATAACATTGAATCTCTAAGTTATTTTGGGTAATATGGCCATTTTCACAATATTGATTCTTCCTATGTGTGAGCATGGAATGTTTTTCTATTTGTTGTGTCCTCTCATTTCCTTGAGCAGTGGTTTGTAGTTCTCCTTGAAAAGGTCCTTTTCTTCTCTTCTTAGCTATATTTCTACATATTTTATTCTCTTTTTAGCAATTATGAATGGGAATTCACCCATGATTTGGCTCTCTGCTTGCCTATTTTAGGTGTGTAGGGATGCTTGTGATTTTTGCAAAATGATTTTGTATCTTGAGACTTTTCTGAAGTGGCTTATCAGCTTGAGAAGCTTTTGAGCTGAGATGCTGGGGGCTTTCCAGATATAGGATCATGTCATCTGCAAATAGAGTAATTTTGACTTCCTCTCTTCCTATTTGAATACCCTGTATTTCTTTCTCTTGCCTGATTGCCCTGGCCAGAACTTCCAATACTATGTTGAATAGGAATAGTAGTGTGAGAGGGCATCCTTGTCTTGTGCCAGCTTTCAAGGGGAATGCTTCCAGCTTTTGCCCATTCAGTATGATATTGGCTTTCAGTTTGTCATAAATAGCTCTTATTATTTTCAGGTATGTTCCATCAAAACTTAGCTTATTGAGAGTTTTTAACATGAAGGGATGTTAAATTTTATTGAAGGCCTTTTCTGTATATTGAGATAATCATGTGATTTTTGTCTTTAGTTCCCTTTATGTGATGAATTCCGTCTGATTTGCATATGTTGAACCAGCCTCGTATCCCAGGGATAAAGCTGATCTTGGTAAATAAGCTTTTTGATATGCTGATGGATCAGGTTGCAAGTATTTTATCGAGGATTTTTGCATTGATGTTCATCAAGGATATTGGCCTGAAGTTTTCTTTTTTTGTTGTATCTCTGCCAGGTTTTGCTTTCAGGATGATGCTGAGCTCATAAAATGAGTTAGACAGAAGTCCCTTGTTTTCATTTTTTTGGAATAGTTTCAAAAGAAATGGTACTAGCTTCTCTTTGTACCTCTGATAGATTTCAGCTGTAAATCCATCTGATCCCAGGATATTATGGTTGGTAGGATATTTAGTCCTGCCTCAATTTCAGAACTTGTTATTGCTCTATTCAGGGATTCAACTTTTTCCTGGTTTAGTCTTGGGAGGGTCTACGTGTCCAGGAATTTATCCATTTCTTCTAAATTTTCTGGTTTATTTCCATAGAGTTGTTTAACGTATTCTCTGATGGTCATTTGTGTTTCTGTGGGGTCAATGGTAATAACCCCTTTATCATCTTTTATTGTGTCTATTTGATTCTTCTCCCTTTTCTTCTTTATTAGTCTAACTAGAGGTCTATTTTATTAATTTTTTCAAAAAAACATTTCCTGGATTCATTGATTTTTTTGAAGGTTTTTTTTGTGTACCTACCTATTTCTTTCAGTGCTGCTCTGATCTTGGTTATTTCTTGTCTTATGTGAGCTTTGGGGTTTGTTTGCTCTTGGTTATCTAGTTCTTTCAGTTGTTATGTTAGGGTGTTGATTTGAGATCTTTCTAACTTTTTGTTGTGGGCATTCAGTGCTATAAATTTTCCTCTTAACACTGCTTTACCTGCATCCCAGAGATTCTGGTACATTGTCTCTTTGCTCTCACTGGTTTCAAAGAACTTCTTGATTTCTGCCTTTATTTCATTATTTACCCAGGAGTCATTCAGGAGCAGGTTGTTCAATTTCCATGTAGTCGTGTGGTTTTGAGTGAGTTTCCTAATCTTGAGTTCTAACTTCATTATGCTGTGGTCTGAGACTGTTATGATTTCAGTTCTTTTGCATTTGCTGAGGGATGTTTTACCTCCGATTAAGTGATCAATTTAGAGAACTACCATGTCGTGCCAATAATGATGTATATTCTGTAATTGTGGGGTGGAGAGTTCTGTAGATATCTATCAGGTCCACTGGATCCAGAGCTGAGTTTAAGTCCTGAATATCTGTGTTAATTTTTCTGTCTCAATGATCTGTCTAATATTGACAGTGGGGTGTTAAAGTCTCCCACTATTATTGTATAGGAGTCAAAGTCTCTTTGTAGGTCTCTAAGAATTTGTGTTTTGAATCTAGGTGCTCCTGTATTGGGTGCATATATATCTAGGATAGTTGGCTTTTCTTGTTGAATTGATCCCTTTACCATTATGTAATGCCATTCTTTGTCTTTTTTGATCTTTGTTGGTTTAAAGTCTGTTTTGTCAGAAACTAGGATTGCAACCCCTGCTTTTTTCTGCTTTCCATTTGCTTGGTAGGATTTCCTCCGTCCCTTTATTTTGAGCCTGTGTGTGTCTTTGCACGTGAGATGGGTCTCTTTAATACAACACACTGAAGGATCTTGACTCTTTATCCAGCTTGCCATTCTGTGTCTTTTAATTGAGGCACTTAGCTCATTTACATTTAAGGTTAATATTATTACATATCTGAATTTGATCCTGTCATCATGATAATAGCTGGTTATTTTGCAGAATTGTTGGTGAAGTTGCTCCATAGTGTCATTTGTTTGTGTACTTCAGTGTGTTTTTGCAGTGGCTGATAATAGTTTTTCCTGTCCATATTTAGTGCTTACTTCAGGAGCTCTTCTTGCAAGGCAGACCTGGTGGTGATGAATTCCCTCAGCATTTGCTTGTCTGGAAAGGATTTTATTTCATCTTCACTTATGAAGTTTAGTTTGGCTGGAAATGAAATTCTGGGTTGGAAATTCTATTATTTAAGAATGTTGAAAATCGGCTCCCAATCTCTTCTGGCTTATAGGGTTTCTGCTGAGAGGTCCACTGTTAGCCTGATGGGCTTCCCTTTGTAGGTGACCTGGCCTTTCTCTATGGCTGCCCTTAACATTTTTCCCTTTATTTTGACCTTGGAGAATCTGATGATTATGTGTCTTGGGGTTGATCTTCTCATGTAGTATTTTACAGGGGTTCTCTGAATTTCCTGAATATGAATGTTGGCCTGTCTTTTTAGATTGGGGAAGTTCTCCTGAATGATATCCTGAAGTATGTTTTACAACTTGATTCTGTTCTACCTGTCTCTTTCAGGTACCCCAATTAGTCATAGTTCAGTCTTTTTACATAATCCCATAGTTTTCAGAGGTTTTGTTCATTCCTTTTTCTTTAATCTTGTCTGTCTGCCCTATTTCAGCAAGATAGTCTTCAAGCTCTCAAATTCTTTCCTCTGCTTGGTCTAGTCAGTTATTGATACTTGTGATTGCATTGTGAAGTTCTCGTTTTGTGTTTTTCTGCTCCATCAGGTCTTCTATGTTCCTTTCTAAACTGGTTATTCTGGTTAACAGCTCCTGTAATGTTTTATCATGGCTCTTACCTTCTTTGCATTGGGTTAGAGCATGCTCCTTTAGCCCAGCAAAGTTCATTATTACCCACCTTCTGAAGCCTACTGCTGTCAATTCATCCATCCTAGCATCCTCACAGTTCTGTGCCCTTGCTGGAGAGGTATTGTGAATGTTTAGAGGAGAAGAGACACTCTGGCTTTTTGAGTTTTTAGCATTGTTTTGTTGTTTCTTTCTCATCTTTGTGAGTTTATGTAGCTTCAATCTTTGGGGCTGTTGATCTTGGATGGGGTTTTTGTGGGGACTTTTCTGTTGATACTGTTGTTGCTGCTGCTTTCTGTTTGTTTGTTTGTTTGTTTGTTTGTTTTTCTTTTAAAAGTCAGGCCCCTCTTCCATAGGGCTGCTGTGGTTTGCTGGGGGTCCACCCCAGACCCCATTCACCTGGATCCCTCCCACCCTTGGAGGTGTCACCAGTGAAGTCTGCAGAACAGCAAAGATGGCTGCCTGCTTCTTCCTCTTGGAGCTCCATCCCAGAGGGGCACCAACTTGTGGCCAGCAGGAATGCTCCTGTGTAAGATGTCTGGCGACCGGTGTTGTGAGGTCTCACCCAGTCAGGAGGCACCAGATTTGGGACCTACTTAATGAAGCACTCTGCCTGCCCCTTGGTGGAGGGGTTACACTGCTGGGGGAATCCCACTCATCTGGACTGCCCAGATTCCTCAGAGCAAGCACAAGGACAGTATGCTGTTCTGTGGAGATTGAGGCTGCCCCTTCCCCCAGAGGTTCAGTCCCAGGGAGATCAGAGTTCTGTCCCTAAACTCCTGGTTGGAGTTGCTGAAATTACTGCAGGGAGGTCCTGCCCAGTGAGGAGGGATGGGTCAGGGTCTGGCCTAAAGAGGCAATCTCGCCATGATCTGCCACAGCCACTGTGCTGTGCTGTGGGGAGTTCCTCCTGGGTCCAAACCATCCAGTGCCCCCAGCACCAGCAAGGGGAAAATGGCAGACTGGAGCTGCAGTGATGATGGCCGCCCCTCCCCTCAGAACTCAGTAGTCTTAGGCAGTCTCCAGCCAAGTGGCCACTGAGAATCTGCACAACTCTGTGCTTGGTACCCAATGCCCTGGTAACAAGGGTTCATGATGGAGACCTCCTGATCTGATCTGCGGGTTGTACAGATCCATGGAAAAAGTATGGTTTCCTGGGCAGGGTAGCACGATCACTCAACACCTCCCTTGGCTGGGGGTGGGAGCGCCCCTTGCCCTGTGTGGCTCCCAGGTGGGACATCGCACCACCCTGCTTTTCCTTGCTCTCCATGGGTCATGCCAACAGCCTAGTCAGCCACAACAACAGAATCTGGGTACCTCCGTTGCTGGTGCAGAATTCACTCACTGTTTTCGTTCTATACACATTTTAATTTCTATTTGAAGCATTCATGCTTCAAGCTCAACCAGCTTTGGTCAATTTGTGATTTTATTTGCCATTGGCCTTCTACATAGTTTATGATACATTAGTTCACATTTGTTTTTAAGCCAACATAGGAAGCATTTTACAGGACTTTTGTTTTCATCTAGGCTTTTTATTTCCATGTTTCCTAGATTGTGCTTATAGATTACACTAAATCTCCAGGTGAATGAAAAGGACTGGTCATGATACTTATTTAGAGGAGTAGTTTTTCATATACCACGTTGAAAGTGTCAGGAAGAGAAGATCCCTTGTCGGTCCAACAAAGTCAAACAAATCAAAACCTGTTAACACTAGGGATTGGGCTGGGAACAATTCATCAGAGAGTATCATAGCACTGTAGGTCTCAAGAGGGCATTTAATAGCGCCCGTGGCAATAACAAAGAGATGCAGAGAAATTCACTCACCAGATCTTTTGGCAGAAAAAAATAAATTGATGAAGGCAGGTTATTGTTGGGCCCATAGGGAGAAATATTCCCACAGGTAAGGAAAAGTAAGCATCATACTGGAGATTCAGAGAAATCAACAGTCTATAAAATTAGTTTACAGCAAAAACCAAAAAAAAAAAAACCTTGGTTTTCCTTAGTAGGTTTCTAGTGAACATAATTTTTAAGAACCAGAACAAGAAAGCAACAAGAGAAAATTAATGAAATAAAAAGAAATTATGGCTTCCGAGTTCCAAGATGGCAGAATAGGAACAGTTCCAATTTACGGCTCCCAGCGTGAGCGATGCAGAAGACGGGTGATTTCTGCATTCCAACTGAGGTACTGGGTTCATCTCACTGGGGCTTGTTGGACAGTGGGTGCAGGCCACAGAGTGTGAGCCAAAGCAGGGCGTGGCATCGCCTCACCCGGGAAGTGGAAGGGGTCAGGGAATTTCCTTTCCTAGCCAAGGGAAGCCGTGACAGACAGTACCTGGAAAATCGGGATACCCCCACCCTAATACTGCACTTTTCCAGCAGTCTTAGCAAATGGCACACCAGGAGATTATATCCCGCACCTGGCTTGGAGGGTCCCATGCCCACAGAACCTCGATCACTGCTAGCACAGCAGTCTTAGATTGAACTGCAAGGTGGCAGTGAGGCTGGGGGAGGGGTGCCTGCCATTGCTGAGGCTTGAGTAGGTAAACAAAGTGGCTGGGAAGCTCGAACTGGGTGGAGCCCACTGCAATTCGAGGAGGCCTGCCTGCCTCTGTAGACTCCACCTCTGGGGGCAGGGCATAGCTGAACAAAAGGCAGCAGAAACTTCTGCAGACTTAAACGTCCCTGTCTGACAGCTTTGAAGAGAGTAGTGGTTCTCCCAGCATGGAGTCTGAGATCTGAGAATGGACAGACTGCCTCCTCAAGTGGGTCCCTGACCCTCGAGTAGCCTAACTGGGAGACACCTCCCAGTAGGGGCCGAATGACACCTCATACAGCCGGGTAGCCCTCTGAGACGAAGCTACCAGAGGAAGGATCAGGCAGCAACATTTGCTGTTCTGCAATTTTTGCTGTTCTGCAGCCTCTGCTGGTGATACCCAGGCAAACAGAGTCTGGAGTGGAGCTCCAGCAAACTCCAACAGACCTGCAGCTGAGGGTCCTGTTAGAAGGAAAACTAACAAATAGAAAGGACATCCACACCAAAACCCCATCTGTACATCACCATCATCAAAGACCAAAGGTAGATAAAACCACAAAGATGGGGAGAAACCAGAGCAGAAAAGCTGAAAATTCTAAAAATCAGAACACCTCTTCTCCTCTAAAGGAACATACCTCCTCACCAGCAATGGGAATTCTCATCTGTGACAGTGACCCAGAGTCCAGTTCATTATTAGTGAACTTAAAACCCATAAACATGTTAGTTGATCTCAGTATATATGTGATATGGTTTGGCTCTGTGTCCCCACCCAAATCTCACCTTGAATTGTAATCCTCATAATCCACATGTCAAGGGTGGGACCAGATGAACGTAATTGGATCGTGGGGTGGTTCCCCAATGCTCTTCTTGTGATAATAAGTGAATCTCATGAGATCTGATGCTTTTATAAGTGTCTGGCATTTCCCCTGCTTGCACTCATGATCTCTCCTGCCACCCTGTGAAGAGGTGCCTTCCACCATGATTGTTAAGTTTCCTAAGGTCTCCCCAGCTATGTGATACTGTGATTCAATTAAACCTCTTTTCTTTATAAATAAATAAAAAAGAAATCATGATGAAATTTTAAATGAAGAAGGGGAAGTAAGGGAGAAATTATAGAACATGTAAAATACAGTAGCAGAATTATCATTTACAGAGAAGGTAGTAAAGGGCAGAACTTGGTAGCATGAAAAGCCAAATCAATCGGGCCAAAGACAATCTTCAAAAACTGTCTAGAATGAGAAGAAAAAACACAATGAACTGAAAATAATGAGAAAAATAATAATCAATAAAAACAACAAAGAACAGAAACTCAATTCAAGAACACAAATGGGAAAACTAGACAATAGCTAGACCCACAACTGAAGAAATTTCCCATATTTAAAAAACAAAAGTCTAGTGTTTCCAGTTAGTCAGGGCTTACCACCTTTGATAAATGTAAGCCACACATACACATATCCTGGCAAAATATTTGAATTACAAGAATAAAATTTTAAACCCACAAGTATTCAGCTATATATGAAAGACTACAAATCATATCAGCCACAAACCTTTATTCTGAAAACAATGGAACAATGTCTACAGTCACGTCAGGAGAAAGATTGTTAGCCAATAATTTTATATCCTATGACATAATCTACACATACACAAGAAATAAAAAGCCATGCTCATTACATAGAAACACAGGAAATACACTGATCTCTTCCTATCTTTAAGGCTATTTGAACACGTATTCCAATTAAGTATATTCCAAAATATAAATTGAGAATTGAAAGAAATGGCATGAAGACTATTAAGTTTGTTCTTAATCAGTATGAGCCTCAAACTTGAGGATATAAACATACTGTGTTTTGTCACAAGAATTCCACAGCAAGAGAATAAAGTTTGACTTCCAGGATTTGTCTCAGCTAGCATTATTTTTCTTTTGTCACTTCTGTCCTGGGAAATATGTTTGATTACTACAGCTTTAAAATTCGTATTCTTAAACATACATCCAAAAGCCAGAAAGCAGAGTCTTAAAGAAATATTTGTAAGCCTATGTCCAAAGCAGCATGATTCACAATAGCCAAAAGGTGTAACAACCCAAACATCCATTAACAGATGAATAGATAAACAAAATGTGGCATATACATTTAATGGGATAGTATTCAACCTTAAAAAGGAAAAAAATTCTGACACATGTTACAATATGAATGAACCTTGAGGACAATATGCTAAGTGAAATAAGCCAGTCACACAAAGACCAGAGATATCTTGAGTAATCAAACTCACGGGAATCAAAGTAGAATGGCGGTATCCAGGGACTGAAAGAAGTGGGGAATGGAAAATAATTGTTTAATGGGAATACAGTTTCAGTTTTACATGTTGAAAAAGTTCTGGAAATTCATTGCACAACAATATGAATTTACTTAACGCTATTAAACTACACACTTAGAAACATTTAAGATGGTAAAATTTTATGTGCATTTTGTCACAAATATTTTTTTAAACTCATATTCATAGTGAATCACTGGTGTTTGTTAAATTTATTAATTTATTACTTTAAAAACTATCTAGTAGCTTATTATTATCCATTTTCAGGATCTTCATCATATCATATTCTATACCATATCTATCTATATTTGTGCACAGTTCTGCATTAAGAGGGCTTTAAAATTAATAAATGCAGTTATATCTCGACAACATACAAATACACGTTTATGGGTGAAAAAGCTTTAATTCAATAGATCATACATTCTCAACCATGGCAATATCATCTCCAAGGATACAAAATTAAGTCTTGCAGAGGGAAAAAAAAAATCTTACCTTCTAAATTTTCGCTGGTAAATCCTACCAAACATTTAAGGAAGAACTGCCTAATTAATGCTATACACATATACATACTACATAAAATCTTCCAGAAAATTGAAGAGGAGAAAACACTTCTCAACTTATCCTATGAGGACAGTGCTATCCTGATACCAAAATCAGACAAGACATGATAAGAAAACTATAGACCAATCTTCCTCATAAGCTTAGAAGCAACACTTCTTAAAATTTTAGCAAATCGAATCCAACAATATATAAAAATGGTACATGCCTGTAGTCCAAGTGCTTTGAGAGGCAAAGGGAGAAAGATTACTTGAGACCAGGAGTTCAAAAGCAGACTGGAAAACAGAGTGAGAGCCTGTCTCTGCAAAACAATTATCCAGATGTGGTAGCATGTGCCTGCAGTCCTAGCTACTCAGAAGATTGAGGTGGGAGGATTGCTTGAGCCCAGGATTTCTATGCTGCAGTGAGCTGTGATATGGCCACTGGGTGCAGCCTGGGTGACAGAGTGAGACTCTGTCTCTTAAAGAAAAAGGGGGTAGAGGAGGGATAGTACATTATGACCAAGTGGGGTTTATCCAAGGAATACAAAGTTTAACGTCTGAAAATCTGTCAATGTAATTCATCATGTTAAACAAAAATAAATAAATAAATGTGATATGATCATTGCAGTAGCTGTAGAAAAATCAGTTGACAAAACATACTTAATAGTAAAAGACAAAGTGCTGTCCCCCTAAGATCAGAAATAAGACAAGGAGGTCCACTTACTATTTGTATTTAACATTGTACTACAGATTTTGACCAGTGTACAATAAGATGAGAAAAATAAAATAAAATATACCCAGTTTAAGAAAGAAGAAGTAAAACTGGTTTTACTCCCAGATGTGACTGTTTATGTAGAAAATCTAATGAAATCTACATAAATTCAACGGAAACTACAAAAACACTGTTAGAAATGATAAGTGAATTTAGCAAGTCATGGCATACAAGGTCAACATACAAAAATCAAAGCTACTTCTACGTACCAGCGACAATCAGAAATTCAATTTTTTAAAATTACACCAGCATCAAAAACATGATACAGGGGAAAACATAACAGAAGTTGCACAAGACCTGCATCCTGAATATTATAAAACATTTCTGAGACGTATTTTTAATGAAGTGGAGAGATTTACCTAATTAATGATTAAAAGATTTAGTATTACCCCATAATTATGTATAATTAGTTATGTGTCAATTAAAAATAATAACAGTTTTTAAAATAGCAAAACTTTAAAAAAAAAGTCAATTCTCAAACTGCACTCAAGACTCAACATAATCCCCATAAAATCTCAGCAGGCCTTTTTTTTTGTAAAAATTATCAAATTGATTCTAAAATTCATATGGAAATGCACGGGACCTAGTGTAGTCACACACACACACACACACACACACACACTCACTTTCAAAAAGAACAAAATTCACGCTAACACTACCTGATTTCAAGCCTTATTATAAAGCTATAGCAATGATGAGAGTATGGTAATGGCATAAAGACAGATAAATAGATCATTGGGACAGAATGGAAAGTCTAGAAATAGACTCACATATATGGACACTGACTTTCAATGAAGCTGCAAAAGCAAGTTAGTGGGGAAAAATAGTCTCTATTATAATGCTGAAACAAATGGATATCCATATAAAAATAAATGCATTTATACAAAAATCTACTCAAAATTGATCATAGACCTAAATGTAAAACCAAAACTAAAAAACATTTAAAAGCACACATAGAAGAAAATCTTTGTGACCCTAGTTAGTCAGCAGTTTCTTAGATACCACAAACTGAATTCAAAACATTGTAAGTTGACCTTCACTAAATTCAAGTTTTTGTTTTTTGAAAGACAGTATTAAGAGAATGAAAAGACAAGCCACAGTAAGAAAAAATATTTTCAAGTCATATGTCTAATAAAGAATTTATCCAGAACATATAAAAACAACCCTCAAAACTCAATACTACGAAAACAAACAACAGAATTTTTAAAAGGACACAAGACTTAAACAGAAACTTCATCTGTTCAACAGATGGCAAACAAATGAAAAGATGTTCAACATCGTTGGTCATTAGAAAAATACAAAGTAAGTCCACAGTGAGATACCACTACACACCTATTAAAATAGCTAAAATGAACAAGACTAAGAATACCAAGTGTTGACAAGGATGTGGAGCAACTGAAACTCCCATACGCTGCTGGTAAAATATAAAATGATAATGTCACTTTGAAAAACAATTTGTCAGAGTCAAAAGAAGATAAATTTACACCTACTGTGTGATCCAGTCATTCTACTCCTTAATATTTACCCAAGGAAAATGAAAGCTTATACCTATATACAAAGACTTATACATGAATATTTATAGCAGATTTCTTTATAATAGCCAAAAACTGGAAAGAACCCAATGTCCATCAGCAAAGGAATGAAGAAACAAAACGTGGTATATCTGATAAAGGAATAATATTCAGTAATAAAAAGGTATAAACCATCGATATACAATACGAAATAGATGAATCTCAAAATAGCAATACTGAGTGAAAGAAGCCAGATGAAAATGAGTGTGTACTCTATGATTCTATTTATGTACAATTTTAGAAAATTCAAACGAATCTATATGACAGAAGGCAGAATAGTGTTTGCCTGGAACAGGGGTAGAAAGCAAGGTGAGATGAAGAGGAGAAAGAGATCACAAAGGGGCAGGAGGAAACTTGTGGTTGTGATGGATATGCTATTTATTTTTATTGTGGTGATGGTTTCACAGGTGTATACATATGTCAAGAATTACCAAAATGTAAATTTAAGTATTTTCAGTTTATTTCAGTGATTCCTCACTTAAGCCATTCTTTAAAAATTCAAAGTGAGTCACAGATGAATTCACTGCCCAGAGTTCTCCTAGTCTGTGAGATGGTCTGAGCTAAAATTGTACGATGAAAATTGAGAGGAAAATTGTGTCAATTCATCCATACTTCATCCCAAGAGTCACCTTGGTAACCCTACAGCAGCTAGGGACTAAGCTGGATGCCATAAAACTTTTTCTGCAACCAAAACTCAAATAAAAATGCATATCAGCAATGACGTAGCCCAAAGGAAGCATTTTCAAAAGTCTGACACAATAGAAAGGAAATTAATTGAGAGCCACGTGACCTGATTAGATTTTCTTGAAATGTCCTGCAATTAGCTAGCTGTAACCTAGGGCATATCCCTTATTTATCTATAAATTTGAGTTGGACTCATTTTATAGAGCCCCTTCCAGAGTTATCACTCAAGATCCATTGCCATAGTCTTTCTTTTCTCTCATTCTGTTTTTCTATGACATACGAAAATATATGTGTCCAAAATTAAGAAAAATAAAAGAAATAAATATAATTAAGGGAAATATAAGAATTAAAGAGAAGGAAATAATTAAAGAGAAGAAATCTGTAAGTATTTATACTATCAGAGTGGCAAAAATTATTGCTACCATTAGAACCATCAGTAGACACCATCATTTATCTGAGTAAGTTGAGCTACTCAATCATTAAGTATTGATTAAGCTCCTATGGCACATAGTTTTATATTATATTTATAGAATAAATGAGTATTAATAATTTGTTGGCATGTTTGTCATGTTTTGTTTTAACTTATAGGCTGAAAATTTCAGGTGATAAGTTTTGTTTTTACAATATATTCATATATTCAAATATTTTTGAAATATACAATTTTAAATTATTTTTATCACGATCCATTCATTATCATGGCATATTTCAGAATGCCTTAAAGAATCTAGGGCCCTGCCCTCTAAGAATTTGCCTTCTAAAATGGAAGGCATTCTTTTGCATTCAAAATAGAATGTTACACTCATTTTCCCAGTAACTTTTTACAGCCTGTAAATTGTTATCTCTCTAACTACATTTCTTAAAACAATATTGCCACTTGAGTGGAACCAATCAGATGGAATTATCCTTTAATGTCAAAATTCTGAGAGTCATTCCATGTAAATAGACTCTCATTACTTCTGAATTCCAGAGGGAAAATGCATTTTTTTAAGATCATCATCATGAGCTGTGAATGAGTATTTAATTAAAAAAAAATGACTTCCCCTAAAAGGTGTTGCCTTCTAAAGAATAAACAAGTACTTGATATCATCTATTCTGCTTGGGTCCTATCAGGTCATTGAACTACAAAGAAAACCCCCTAAATATTTGTGGTTAAGGTTCCTGCCAAAATACAGCTTTTCTAAGAAGGCCCCCAACCACAAACCTACAGTTAAGGATTAACCTCTACAGTCAAATAATAATAATGCAAAATGTCCCTTCAAATGGTAAAGATTAATATTCCAGACAAGAGATTAGAGTGGAATTTAAAGCTCAAAAAATAGGACTAAAGTCCAAGATTAAGGGAGAATTTTCCTTGAGTTTTAAGGACTGGGCAGAGGTTCATAATTGGAGTTCTCTTAAAGAGGCACTATTTCTTTTTGAAATCAACATGCAGCAACATCTGTTAGTGAGCAGACCTCTTGCTGGGCTAGGATTACTCTCTTACCATTACAAGTAGAAAAGTGCATGGCTTTGGCTTAAAAAAAGGAAATTTCTGATGGTGAATAAACATTATATTTAAAAACATAATATTTAAAAATTATTCAAAAGGGTCCAATGTCGTCAAAAAGAATAGGATAACATGCACTCCCTATAGAGATTGTGGTTAATAGAAAAGAAGGGAAGATACAAAGATGCAAAGATGCTTCTGGTCCTTGAGGATTTTATAGACCACTGAGGAAGAGGGATGTTCAGAGTAAGAAAGAGCTCATTGTAGATATACAATCATGTCGTCTGCAAACAGGGACAATTTGACTTCCTCTTTTCCTAATTGAATACCCTTTATTTCCTTCTCCTGCCTAATTGTCCTGGCCAGAACTTCCAACACTATGTTGAATAGGAGTGGTGAGAGAGGGCATCCCTGTCTTGTGCCAGTTTTCAAAGGGAATGCTTCCAGTTTTTGCCCATTCAGTATGATATTGGCTGTGGGTTTGTGATAGATAGCTGTTATTATTTTGAGATATGTCCCATCAATACCTAATTTATTGAGAGTTTTTAGCATGAGGGGTTGTTGAATTTTGTCAAAGGCCTTTTCTGCATCTACTGAGATAATCATGTGGTTTTTTTCTTTGGTTCTGTTTATATGCTGGATTACATTTATTGATTTGTGTATATTGAGCCAGCCTTGCATCCCAGGAATACTATGCAGCCATAAAAAATGATGAGTTCATGTCCTTTGTAGAGACATGGATGAAATTGGAAATCATCATTCTCAGTAAACTATCACAAGAACAAAAAACCAAACACCGCATATTCTCACTCATAGGTGGGAATTGAACAATGAGAACACATGGACACAGGAAGGGGAACATCACACTCTGGGGACTGTTGTGGGGTGGGGGGAGGGGGGAGGGATAGCATTGGGAGATATACCTAATGCTAGATGACGACTTAGTGGGTGCAGCGCACCAGCATGTCACATGTATACGTATGTAACTAACCTGCACATTGTGCACATGTACCCTAAAACTTAAAGTATAATAATAAAATAAAATAAAATAGAATAAAATAAAATAAAATAAAAAAAGAAAGAGCTCATTGTTCCAGCTAGGGTCAGAGAAAGCTTTACAGACAGGCGTGGAGAGCCTTGAAGAAACAATTACCAGGAGTTAGATATAGGCAAGAGGGGGAAAAAGGATTCCAGACAAAGGGATCAGCATGTGCATGGGTAAAGGCTCAGCACGTGCATGGGTAAAGGTTCAGGTAAAGGCTCACCAACGTGAACGGTACTTTCTCACCTGGGAAATACGTGGTATGGTTTAAGTCTTTCAGAAGTTGCCATAAGAAGGTAGAAATACAGGGTTTAGCCATAAAGATAGACCAAGGCCAGAACTTACAGGGCTTGGATGCAGTTTAAGAAGTTGGATGTGTATTACTTTCAAAGAGAAATATCAAAGACTTTTAAACGAGGGAATGAGATTAGCAAATTTGGGCTTCAGAAATGGAACTTCAATTAAACCCTTTTCAGTTTTCTTTCAGGGAGCCCTATCAAGTTCTACTTTTCCAGGTCAAATGGGTCTCAACTGAAGGTCAGGAAAGGCGCACAGGGAGGCAACATAGACCAGGCTCAGATCCTCCTGCTCTGGTATACCAGGGGGCTCACCATTTAAGTGCTTGATGTTTTGAGTTTGGTTTGGGGTTAACAATGACAGTTAAATTGCTTTTAAAAGATCTGGCTGCATTTTTTTTTTTAAGATTGAAAACCGCTGTTGTAGAAGATGAACAAGTTATTTTCCAGCCCTCCTTCCCAAAGGTTACCACTATCCTAAATTCTAAAGCTATATATTATTTTAGCATATTTTTATTTTATATAACTAAAATTATATAGTATATACTCTATCCTATGTTTTCCTTTATATAAACCTGGTTTGTAAAATTATCCATTCTATTATGTTCAATAATCATTAATTCATTTTTATCACTGAATGTAATGTATTGTATGTGTATACCACTATCCTTTCTACGGCTGATGGACACTTGGATTTTTTTCCCACTTTTGACCATTATGAATAATGCTCATAGGAACGCTCTTGTATTTGTCTTTGGGTGTATATATGTTTGCATTTCTGTCAGAAGTGGAACTGCTGGAGCATAAGATGTGTGTGTGTTTCACTTTAGTAGATATTACCAGTTTTCCAAAATAGGTGTGCCAGTTTACATTCTCATCAACAATGCATGAAAGCTCCTGTTGCTTTCTACTCTCACCAAACCTTGTCAGATATTTTTAACACTGCCCGTTTTGATAGATGTGTAAGTGTTTCTCATTGCGGTTTTAATTTGCATTTCCCTGAAAATTACTGTCATTAACTATCTTTTTTTCTGTTTTATTGGCCATCTGGAAATTATCACGTGTCAGTTCATGTCCTTTGCTCATCTTTATTGAACCCAATAGACTTTTTCTTAATCTGTAGTAATTTGTTATATATTTGGATACAAGCCCTTCATCAGTTATATGTATTTCAAATATCTCCTGCTAGACATTTATGTTATTTCCAGTTTAAAGTTAGGAATAAAGATGCTATGAGCAATTATGCACAAATCTTTGTGTAGAAATATATTTTTATACTCTAGAGGAAATACCTGGGAATAAAATTGCTGACTTATATAGTAAGTGTATGTTTAACTCCATGCCAAGTTTCTACAGTGGTTACATTTTACATTCCCACCAGCAATGTATAAGAATTCAGTTGTTTGACATCTTTATTAAGAATTGTCATTGTACGCCACTCATTTATTTGCAGCCATTCTAAAAGATGTGTTTCACTATTTCAGTATGTCTTTTATTTGCGTTTCCCCAATGGTTATGAGGATGACCATCTTTTTTAATGTGCTTATTAACCATTCACAGATTATCCTTTGTGAAATGTCTGTTTAAATTTTGCTCATTTGTATTGCGCTCTTACTAAGTTGTAAGAGTTCTTTATAGTTATATAGAAATATTTTATCTTATATGGGTTTTTCAAATATATTTTCCAGTTTATGTGGTTTGCCTTTTCATTTTATTAATGAGCAATTTAGAAAAGCAGCAGCTTTTGATTTTAATGAGATGAAATTTATCCATTTCTTTACAGTTTGTACATTTTGTGATCCAAAACATCTTTGCTGACCACAAAAGTATATAAAGATATTCTCCCATGATTTCATCTAATGTTTTACAGGCTTAGCTTTTGTACTTAGACCTAGTATTCTTATATTTCAAGTCAAATTTTGTGTCTGATGTGAGGTAAGGGTCAAGTTTCATGTTGTTTATCTTTATGGATATGAAGTTATTCCAACACCACTGATTGAAAAGAATATCTTTTCCATATTGAATTACCTTGGCACTTATGTCAAAAATCAATGGACTTCATATATGTGGGTTTATTTCCGGCCTTTGTATTCCATTCTGTCGATCACTACGTTCATTTTAGGTCAATAGTGTCCTATTATGATTACTGTAGTTTCTTAATGGTAAGTCTTGAAATCAGGTAACATATGTGCTCCCAATTCACTTACCTTTTTCAAAATTAGTTGCTTATTCTAGGTTCTTGGGATTTCTACATAAATTTTAGAATCAGCCTCTCAATTACCAAAAAGGTTCTTCATAGGATGTTGATAGTTTTGTGCAATTTAATAATGATGTGTATTTTGGTTTTCTTCTTGTTTATCTTGTTTGTCTGCTTGAATTTCATTGGGCTTCTTGGATCTGTGGGCTTATTGTTTTCATCAAAATTGGAAAAAAATTTGGTTATTAATTTTCAACTAGTTTTTTCTTCCCTCCCCTCTATCTGAGACTCCAATTACATGTACGTACAAGTCACTGAAGCACTTTTTTTTTCTCCGTCCTCAATTTTGGATAGTTTCTGTTGCTATATCATCAGGTTCTCTAAACTTTTCTTCCTCAATGTCTAATCTGCTGTAAATGCAATCTAGTAAATACTTCATATGCAGCAAGCATTTTTGCCTCTAGAAGTTTGTCTCAATAACCTCCATTTATTTCCTGATTTTCTTGTTTATCTTTAAATACTTGAACATATTGAGTATGTTTACAATAGTACTTTTAATAATTATATCTGCTAACACCATCATCGCTGTCATTCCCTGTTCTATTTACATGGACTAATTTTTCTTCCAGTTAATGTGTCACATTTTCCTGCTTCCTGTTCTGTCTAGTAATTTTTTATTAAATGGTAAGCACTTTATATGTGTTTTTATTGTTGTTGTTGTTAGTGTCTGGATTTTGTCATCTTCCTTTAAAAAGTGTTGAACTTTATCCTCAGAGGCAGTTCAGTTGCTGGCTAGTAAGCTTGATTGTTTTGAGACCTGTGGTTTTTTTAAGCTTTATTAGAGAAATCTAGGTTAGCTTTTACTGTATAGCTAGCTTATCTCTATTATTAAAGCATGACAAAAATTTCTGATGTCTCTACCGAATGCTTCAGATGATAAATGAAGACTATATTCTGGGTGAAACTTTTTTTTTTTTTTTGAGATGGGGGTCTTCCTTTGTCTCCCAGACTAGACTGCAGTGGCACAATCTTGGTTCACTGCAACCTCCTCTTCCCAGCTTCAAGTGAATCTCATGCCTCAGCCTCCCAAGAAGCTAGGATTACAGGCGTGTACCACCACACCCGGCTAATTTTTGTATTTTTAGTAGAGACTTGGTTTCACCATGTTGGCCAGTCTGGTCTCAAACTCCTGGCTTCAAGTGATCCACCCATTTCGGCTTCCCAAAGTGCTGGGATTGCAGGCATAAGCCACCACACCTGGCCAGCTGATAGAAACTTAAAGAGCTCACAGCTCTATGTAAACTCTTGGAATGGTTCATTTTACATCAATATGGCCATTCTTTACATTGTCTTATGGGTTATTACCCTATTATTCTGCAAAGCCTAATAAGGACTTCTCTAGAGATTTTTGGAGCTCTCTTTCTGCTCTTTGGAGCTGTATGCTGCAACTTCCAGTGCTATACAGAATGTTTTTAAAGGGAGAGCTTGGGAAATCACAGGGATCAACTTGCATGGTTCCCTTCTGTCTGTTGACACTGTGTTACCCGTTATCCAATTTCTGACAACAGTTTATTCATATGTTGTTTGCCCAATTTGGTTTTTTGGTTTTTTTTCTTTTTTCTTTCTTTCTTTTTTTTTTTTTTTTTTTGTTTTGACCGAGTTTTGCTTTTGTTGCCCAGGCTGGAGTGCTATGGCACTGTCTCAGCTCACTGCAACCTCCACCTCCCAGGTTCAAGTGATTCTGCTGCCTCAGCCTCCCAAGTAGCTGGGATTTCAGGCACCCGCCACCACACCTGGATAATTTTTGTATTTTTAGTAGAGACGGGGTTTTGCCATGTTGAGCAGGCTGATCTCAAACTCATGACCTTGGGTGATCTGCCCACCTCGGCCTCCCAAAGTGCTGGGATTACAGGTGTGAGTCACCACTCCCAGCCTGTTTGCCCTATTTGTTTATTGTTTATGATATGAAGATAAATAAGGCCATGTTATACCATCTTAGTCAGAAGCAGAAGTTCCCAAATCCATTAATTTGTTTAAGATTAAGTCAACCTTAAGTCCTGAATAAGCCTGATTTGGTCATTATGTATTCTTTTCATACATGATTGGATTTTATTTCTAGTATTTTGTCTGGTATTGTTGTGTATATTTTTAAAAGATAATTGGCCCGTATTTTTTTTCTGTTTGAAGATAATTTTTAATGAGTATCTTGAGTCCCCTAATTTTGACACCAGTAACATCTCGCCTCATCGCTTTTCCTGTGGGGATTCAGGCATGGTTCATCAGCAGAGGATGCTATTCTAGTCTGGCTGCTGCTCATGCTGTGAGTAATAATCATCTGTTTCTCTGACCAGTTGGTCTTGTGTTTGTCAGAGTATGTAGCATAAAATCTCAGACCCTTCAGTTCCTTTCCTAACCCTTTCCATAATGTCCTTATCAGGTTTTGGTATCAATATTGTTTGTACCAAAAGACATACTGGGAAATATTTCCTCTTGTTTATTCCCCAGAAAAAAAGTGTTAAATATTGGGGTTATATTTTATTATCATTCTATTAAATGTTCAGAAGAGTTATCTAGGGAAGTTGTCTGGGCCTAGAGATTTCTTTGTGATAAAGTATTTCATTACAGATTCAATTCTTATAATAAATATGATTAATGTGGATATTTTGCATTGAACTATCTTCCATTTCACTTACCCTCTATTCAGCTATGTGTAAGCTAGTGTTAGATCCATTTATTGATATTTTACTGGCTCTTTCCTTACCAAATTCTAGTCCTGGCTAAAATACCCTCTTAGCTATTTCTGCAAGTTCTTTGGGATGTCTCACATGTGTTCATTAAAAGAGCCCCTCCACTTTCATGTAATATCTGGCATCTCTCCTCCTTTATTCTAGATCCTTATAAGGATATCTGTTGCCTAACCTACTGAGGGCATGCCAGAGAGAATCTGCCCAATGACAAAGAACTTTGTGAGAAAGTATTTCATTACAGATTCAATTCTTATAATAAATACGATTAATGTGGATATTGTGCATTGAACTATCTTCCATTTCACTTATCCTCTATTCAGCTATGTGTAAGCTGACTAGCATCAAGGCTCTTAAATTGGATGATACTGAACTGTGTTACAAAGTCCTGTGGATATTTTAGCAAACTAGCTTTTTAGAGTTTTTCAAATTATTTTTAAATGACAAATAAAAATGCATATATTTTGGTATACAACTTGATGTTTTGATATATGTATAAATTGCAAAATGACTAAATCAAGTTTTTTAACATATGCATTACCTCACATACATATTTTCAGGGTGAGAACACTTAAAATATACTCTCTTAGCAATTTTCAAGTATACAATGTATTATTAACTACAGTCCCCATGATGTACAATAGAACTCTTTAGTTTATTCTTCCTGTATGACTGAAATTTTGTGCCCTTTGATCAACATCTCCCCAGTTCCCTCAGCCTCTAGCAACTATCATTTTACTCTCTATTTTTATGAATGTAACTTTTTTAGATTCCACATTTAAGTGACATCAAGTGACATTTGTCTTCCTGTGCCTGGCTTATTTCACTTAAAATAATGTCCTCCAAGTTTGTCCATGTTTTCTCAAATGAGAGGATTTCTTTTTTAAGACTAAATAGTATTCATATATATATATATATCTCACATTTTCTTCCTCCATTTATCCATTTATGAACACTGAGGTTGAGTCCATATCTTGGCTACTGTTAATAATGCTGCAACAAACATAGGAATGCAGATATCTCTTCAACATACTGACATTCCTTGGATATAGATGCCTTTAAGTTTTAACTGTTATATTATAGTCCCCTTATCCTAGAACTTGGGGCTCTGTCCCTACACATAGGCCAAAGAACAAAGTGACAGCATCTTCTATGCTCCTGCTAAAATAAGTAATAATTACTGGTATGTGTTTACATGAATTTGACTCAATAATTTAGATAAGGAAAATAATAAAATCTTAAGTTCAAAACACAGACTTATGTCCCATTTAACTTCCTGTGTGGTCAGCAAAAAGATGACTTTATCTACTTGGGAATCTAGAAAGCCATGCCTTGATCTCCTCTGTCCTTATCATAGTTAGGAGAGGAAATTGTAAATGGGAGGCCCTTAGTAAAAGTTGCTGAATAAACAAACAAACACTGATATTAATGGTCAAGTCTCTGCTTCAGCTTAAATCACCCCTAGAAAGTTGCTTTAAAGTCTTTCATATTATCCAAATCACAGAGGTGGGATCACTGAATCATAACTTTTTTTTTCAATAGCTTTAGGCGTACACGTGGTTTTTGGTTACATGGATGAATTGTACAGTGGTGAAGTCTAGGATTTTAGTGTACCCCTCACCCAAGTAGTGTACCTTGTACCCAATAGGTGGTTTTGCATCCCTCAGTCCCATTCCACCCTCCTCCCTTCTGAGTCTCCAGTGTCCATTATGCCACTTTGTATACCTTTGCATACCCAGAGCTTAGTTCCCACTTATAAGTGAGAACCTGTGGTATTTGGGTTTCAATTTCTGAGTTACTTCACTTAGAATAATGGCCTCCATTTTCATCCAATTTGCTGCAAGAGACATTATTTCAGTATTTTTTATGGCTGAGTAATATTCCATGGTGTGTGTGTGTGCATATATATACATATATACATTTATGTGTGTATATATATTTTATATATATGTGTGTGTGTATATATATATATATATATAATCTCACATTTTCTTTATCCACTCTGTTTGATGGGTACTTAAATTGATTCCATATCTTCGCAATTGTGAATTGTGCTGGAGAAACATACACATGCAGATGTCTTTCAGATACAGTGACTTCTTTTCCTTTGGTTAAATACTCAGTAGTGGGATTGCTGAATCAAATGGTTGATCCACTTTTAGTTCTTTGAGAAATTTCCACACTGTTTTCCTTAGAGGCTGTACTAATTTACATTCCCACCAGCAGTGTGTCAGTGCTCCTTTTCACCCCATCCACACCAACATCTATTGTTTTTTGACTCTTTAATAATGGCCATGGCCATTCTGGCTGGGATAAGGTGGTATCTCATTGTGATTTTAATTTTCATTTCCCTGATTAGTGATGCTGAACATTTTTTCATACGTTTGTTGGCCATTTACATATCTTCTTTTGAGGCATGTCTTGAACCATAACATTTTGTCAGCTCATTTTATCTCTTTCTATAATCAGAGAAAGTGTTCAACCAATATCATTATATATTGTTAAATTGTTACATATCACTAAAATATTGAAAGTATTTTCATTCTGATTAGTATAGCCACTGTCCTTAGTTCTATGAGTAGCCCACACCAATACTCTGCCCCCCACCATATTAATGCTCACTCAAGCAGCAAGGCTCCAGGCATCACTGCCCAAGCCAGTCAGCCATCACACACCCTATCCATGCCCTACACCAGTGTCACCAGGGATCTCTGGCGGCCAGCAGGCCAGGCCTGGCCCTGCCTGTTCTCCCAGCTAAAGCATGCCTGAATTTAGGTAGAGGAGATGGAAGACCTGCTGGTAGTTCTGGCTCCCCTCTGAGCAAATGCCCAATGTTATCTACACCCTCAAAGCTACCACAGGCAGAAACACCCCTATGACCACTGAGACATTTATAGCCAACAGACCTCTTTAGGTCTGAGAAAAGGGAAGAAACAAAGTGCCTATGGGGGAGATCTGAGGTGGGAAGGTGCTTAGGATATAGGATATCTTTATGGAATCCTTATTGAAATTCATCTTGAGCAAATAAAATGAGTTTGTTAAAATTCACTAAATACTCTTTGTATGCATACAGCTTTCATTTTATTAATAAAAAATAAACTGCTTTGAGAAAGTGCTTGCTATGTGTCAGGCACCACTCTAAATACACATTAACTTATTCAATAATTATGATTACTGGCATTGATTGCATTTTTCACATGAGGAAATAAAGATAGTCAGAGGTTACTTAATAAAAAATCCAGGCACCCTGACAAGAAAAGTGTGCTCAACTATACTATAAAATGCTGCTTCTTTGCCAGCCTGAAGGATTGGGTTTCATTCAATCAAATGTAGCCTTCCAATATATAATTTTTGTTACCCAGTATATAACAGAGATATTGAATATTCAATAGTTGTATAAAGAATTAAAATAATTAGAATATAATTTAATTGCCCTAAGTTCAGCAAATGATGAGAAGTTCAGCATGATTACAAGTAGCACTAATGTTAAGAGCAATTCTCTACTTATGGAAATGTAAAAGTCATCTGAATATCAATTTAATTGGGAAGTGTTAGAAGATGCTGATGTGGTTACTGAAAGGTCATCGTTAACTGGTCCAAGACTGGTCCTTTGCCAGCTATTCTCCCAGGGAAGGAACTGGCCTGCTTCAAGGCCTCAATTCAGCCACATTCTTAAGGCAGTCACCCAGCAGGTAGGGTGTGGATGCTGTCCAGGCCATTTGTCCTCACAGCATGAAAGTTATACGAGCTTATAAATAAGTGTATTACAGTATGTAACAACACTTTCTTGAATTTTAAAGTGTATAGTGTTAGCCAAGCACGGTGGCTCATGCCTGTAATCGCAGCACTTTGGGAGGCCAAGGCGGGCGGATCACCTGACGTCAGAAGTTCAAGACCAGCCTGGCCAACATGGTGAAACCCCATCTCTACTAAAAATACAAAAATGAGCCAGGTGTGGTGGCGGGTGCCTGTAATCCCAGCTACTTGGGAGGCTGAGGCAGGAGAATCGCTTGAACCCAGGAGGTGGAGGTTGCAGTGAGCCAAGATCACACCATTGTACTCCAGCCTGGACGACAGAGCGAGACTCTGTCTCAAAAAAAAAAGTTAAATAAATAAATAAAGTGTGTAGTGTGTATATATTAAGTGGTAAAATATATAAGGAGGTTACAAAATGTTCTTCTTTACATTTTTATTTTTTAAGCATTGGTTAATTTGAACCAAACTCTTGAATCCACATGAAACCACTGGGCTTATCAACAAGTCGCAGTATATTTGAATTATATTCATATGCTTAGATTTCATGCAGTTTTCATGGCTTAAAACCCAGTCATATTTTTAAAATCTTATTTTTCTTTAGATATAAGCAAATGGGATGCAATTTGTGAATTTTTAAATTAATTGCAGGAAGCTGTGCTCTACATTTAAAACTATGTTGGCCATGGCTAGAAATCACCTATTTAATGTAAGCAAATGACTTCAATAAGATTTGAACTATTACAAATCATAGCCCACTTTAAGACTGGTTAGTTATGATCCACAGCTCCCTTACACACACACACACACACACACACACACACACACACACACACACATTAACAAAGTAAGCCTGTTCTAGGTCCTCTCAGAAAAATATACTCTTGGCTTTATGAATTGGGTTGATATCAGATGACTGAAAGATATTTTCAGTCAGTTGCTGAGTTTTTGGGAAATGCAGCAGGTAGTAGAAAATTCAAGCAATCAGGGTACAATTAATGAACAATATATTATTTGGTTGTTGTTTTAATTGTGTTAAATTTTATTTTTAAAGGTATTCAAAACTATTATAATTTGTAGATTTATATAAGAAAATGTTTGCGTGCACGTGTACATCTACTATTAAACTTTCATCGTTCCTAAAAATCTTAAAGAATGATGCATTAAAAATCAAACACCGAACATTGAACCAGCTCATGTTAGGTGTCCAGTGTTTGGTTTTTAAAGCATAATTCTAAGATTCTCAGGAACTAAGAAAGTTTTGTAGCAAATGATGTGCTGGGCATTGGACCACAAGCTTTACATGCATTATTTCATTTAATCTGCACATCCTCATTTGGTAGATAATATTTTCATGTCCATGTTTCATCTGGGGTTAAAGAGGTTAGGTAAATTGGGAAAGACAACACAGTTTGTTGAAGAGCTGGGGTTTTAAGTTTTAACTGTCCAAGAGTAAAGCCCTTAATCTGCATTATGCAATATTGCCTCCAAAACATAAAGTGCTTTCAGGTATACAAAGAATTTTCAAGTTTATTTAATCCTCACAATGACCATTACGAGAGATGTGCACATGTTGTGGTGATTATATAGTGAAACCAGACTCAAACCCAGGGCTACAGCTGCCTTCACTTCAGCCTAATTTAAAAGAGAAAACTTCCCAAGTCCAAATGCTGTTGTGTTAACTAATAGCTAAAATCATTCACATATTTTCAAAATAGCCATGGAGGAAAAAAGGTTATTGCAGTAGGATGTAACACACCCTTGGGTATATCTAAAATATTTTTAAAACTTTTCCATATTTTTAGATTTAGCCTACTTCTCTTCCTACCATTAGGCATTCTAAAAGTAAAATAGGAGGAAACACTACTTTTTGCTATTTAACTAAAAAACACTATGTCTTTTCTGGTAGTGGTGATCATTTTCAATTCAGAAGATTTTTATAGACAGTTGATGAAAAAATAGAAAATAAAAAGAGTATAGAAATTTTTTAAGCTTTGCTTTTTACTAGAATTTTAAACATTCTTAGTAGGTTATTTACTACCATAATTTACTTGGTCAGTTTTCTAAATTTTTAACAGAAAGGAGATGATAGGATTAGGGGTATTCTATTTACTTTACGGATCTAACTGCTGAAGTCGTCTTTTCAAAGTCATTTGGGGTAGTTTTTTAGAGCACTCAGCACTTTCCTGGGGATAGCCCTGTTGAGACCAATGGTGATGATTTAACTAATCAACAGAATGGTAATATATATTAAATACGCCAAAGCAACATTTATGTTTTTGGTTTTCCTGCTATACTGACATTTGAAAACCAAAGAGCTTTTTCTTTAAGTCTGCCGCATATTTAATTGTTTTTTCTTCAGAATACAGTTTCATCAGCGGCATATTTAATTTGTACAAATATGTGCTTAGCAAAAATGAATAAAATGGAAATGTCCTTGAAAACATTTTAAATACTATAAAATTATGCTTTGCATATTCATTTGTATATATGTTAATATAAACATAATTATTATACAAGGCTGTTTATATAAAACCATATATGCTCCACCTCATGGGACATCTAAGTAATTTTCAACGTAATTTTGACTCTATGTGATATTTGTATGCTCTAACTTAAGAAATTAGCCTCTGGTAAGATGTGGCACCACTGCATTCAAAATGGAAACAAATAATTTTTATTCTTTTTTTTAATTAAGAAGATCAAATTCCAGTTTTAAAACATTGATATTTATTCTGAGTAGATATTCTGCATAGTTTCTCCAATAAACATTCCAATTAATTGATATGCAAATATGTACTCAATTTATTCTGGCCACTAAGATCACTTTGCTATGGAAGAATCAAATGCCATGTATCCAAAAAAAATTATATGCAGATTGTTACTCTTAATTTTAAAAAACAGAATAGCTCGCTATGCCTTTAGATCCTCCTCTTCTATTCTTTTTTTTTTTCTGTCTGTTGAATGTGATTGAAGTGGCTGAGAAAGTTTTAACATCTTTAACCTTTAAGGAAGCCCTAAAAGCATTCCATGTTCTCCTGAACATCGTATGACACTGAAATAAGGTGGAACACCTTGCATCTAGAGTCCCTCTGATTTCCAGCCTGCAGCCTCTTACTTTTGAGCTTTAACAGTCTCAGAAACTGCAAAGAAAACAATATAAAAGCACCTCATAGATTACCAGACCATTACTAGTCCTAGGCACTTCAGCAGATGAAACCTCCTTGATCCCACACTATAAAAACGCCTTCTGAAGGCTATTCAGCTCCTCTTTGATTCTTGGCCCAAGTCTTAATTTTCCCACAGAGCTGAAGCTCTGTATTTCATTAGGGATATCATCTTAAATCCCTGTGTGCCCCTACTTGTTTCAAAGAGGTTTCTCTTCTACAGATTAATTTCTATCTATTTTGTAGGTGAACTAATGAGTATCAAAATATATTTTTAAAACCTATTGATAATAAATACTGAGATTTTTTTTTTCAGATAAATCCCAATGGATACAAGGCTGAATTTTTTTTTCATTCCAATCTGATATAGTCACTTCATATTGAGTCCTTAGGTTAAAAACACACCATTAGGGTTAAGTCCAGATTTTGTTTCACAGCCTTCTAAGTTATTCTTGCACTTTGTCTCAACCAAATTTATAGACTTTAAAATGGCAATCTTGAAAAGTCATAAGATCTTTTTACTCCACACAGCATAGATAATATTGACAACAGAATTGGGGTCTTTAATTCCCCCAATAAATATAAAATACAAAAATCTTGAAATATGAAATCAATCCTTAGTACAACATGTTTATTCTGTATTCATGCTGCTTTTTTGTAAATGAATTCCAAACAATCTACAAAAAGCCATAAAACATAAGCTTTCTTCCCAGGAATTATCTCATTTATAACTTGATCCTCAAAAATAATGGCTTATAGATTCACTGGTTCATTTTTTGTTTAAAATGCCACCATAGCCATCACCTTTCCTTGACCATATAAATAACACGTGCGCATTATAGAAAATTTTCACAATGCAAACAAAGGGAAGAAGGTAAATGTCTGTTGAAATTATTTTTTCCTATAGTAATCTTTTGGGGTTAATTATTTACTGGAAATTTAAATTATTTACCATGGCATTAAACACAATGGAAAAATTGAGTAGCCAGCAAAGTTCCTATCTTTTAGGACTTTAAACGCAAAGTTATATTTGCCTGAGCCAGTAGGTAAGCCATTTGTCACCGAGTAATCTATTTTAAAAAAAAACAATTATTCTAAAATGATATAACCATCATTTTAAGTTGTTAACTTAATTATATAGTTGCTGTTTAGAAACAAGCCAATAAGAAATAATTGCTATTTTAAAAGAATCATTTGTCATAGGTATGTAAAGAGACACAGTCCAGTAGATCCAAATGTAGAGTAGGTAACACATGTTTAATATTATTAATAAGTCACGGGTCCTAGGAGAAAGGTCGGGGCATAGCTTGAGACTGTGTTTAAGGCAAAGGGCGTTCCTCTTTTATATTTAACGAGGAATTTAAATGTTTTATACTCAAAATTATTAACCAAACCAGGGGCACTTGGAGTTGAATTAAACACCTTTATAAGGAAGATTGCATCCTAAATTACTCTAATTGTTATAAATTAAAGGATTTTGTTTTATGGGGTCAATTGAGACAAATATGTATAAGTGTGTTTAATCATGCTTTCACCGGACCTAACTGTACATCACCTCCTACAAACCTACCAAATCTTTTCTTCATCTGAGCATTAAAAGACTGTCGCACAGCTGGGTTAATGGGAGATGAGCATAAAATTGATTCAGATAAACTCCTCAAATTAGTCTTGCTGAAAAGTGATCCCATACAAAGCGGGGCACATAGACGGATGAAGTTTGATCTCCATTTTGGGGACTCACTAGTTGCGTGACCTCAGGCAAGTCAGAGTCTAGGTTAATAACTGATGTTGTAAGAATACTGAAAGGTTAGTAAGATTATGGAAAGAATACCTAGAACATTACAGATTCCCAACAATGTTTTGGTTTACTTACATTCCTAGTGAAAATGAGGCAACAGCACTCTCCCTTATAAGATGAACATCAGCCAACTACTCCCATCACTAAATGCTTTTATTAAGCATCTGGGTGAGAAACAGGGTTACAAATGTATAAAGTATATTAAAGCAGGGTTATGCCTTCTTTAGGAACGCTATAATCCAAGGTAGAGAAGACAGATGAACCCTAAAGCACATGAATACAAAGTGGATACCCATTTCCATAAGAGTTTTTATGTGCTACTCTAAAAAATGGTATCCTGGCCTTCAATAATGAGAACTTGCCTAGTCAACCATTCATCCTTTGTTCAGTGAACATGGTAGTAAAACAAATGCCTTAGGAAATAAATTACATGTTTATTGTATATTATTATTATTAATTATTTCAGACGGAGTTTCGCTGTTGTCAACCAGGCTGGAGTACAATGCGCTATCTCGGCTCACTACAAACTCCACTTCCCGGATTCAAGCGATTCTCCCGCCTCAGCCTCTGGAGTAGCTGGGATTACAGGCACATGCCACCATGCCTGGCTAATTGTTGTATTTTTAGTAGAGATGGGGTTTCACCATCTTGGCCAGGCTTGTCTCGAATTCCTGACCTCAGGTGATCCGCCCGCCTTGGCCTCCCAAAGTGCTGGGATTACAGGTGTGAGCAACCACACCCGGCCTGTTATTAATTTTTTAAATGATAATTACTAAAATTAACAGACACCTAGGAAGAACATAATAGCATACAACCTATTTTAAAGAAGTGTTTTATATAAGTGTGTATGTGTTTGTTTATGTATCCACACAATCATGTGTTTTTCACAAATTCTGCAGAATATTTCATGTGACACATGGAAATACATATAATGCAAACTAATAAAAATATTTATAATCAGAGAAATAGACTGTAGGGGTAGAAAAGATCCAGAGAAAGTTTAAGCAAATAAAAGCAGGTCTCACTGTCCTTAAAGTCAGTTACTAATTTCAATTGCTAATTTGGCTCTGACTTTACTTATAGGCAACAGAGGGCAAAGCACAGGGGAAACACTGTCAGACGCAGAAGCCAAATGATCGTAAGACTAAATATCCTGCTTGCACAGAGAAGCAATGCTTTTCCTTTCATAGAGATCTACCAGAAGCTTCTCCAGGGAGGTTTCTCATAAATGAGATATTAAAGGAGGAAGTGGACAATATTTACAACAGCAACCCCTGGTAAACAAAATAGATAATTTTTTAAAACTATATTCTGAAAATATGGTAATGCAAGACTCGTGAACTGAAGTGAAATTTACTATGAAGAAAAAAATCCTCTGAAAGAAATGTTACAGGTCAGACTACAAAATGAAGCATAAAAGAACAAGTGCTCCTGTGTCTCATTCTTCTCATTTATAAAACGAAGAAAGTAGACTAAATGTGTTCTAAAATTTTTGCCTCAACAAAGACCCTTAAAGTAGCTAACCTAGATTCTTGGACGCTAATGTTTCTATGCAATAAATAACAAAAATGTCATTAATGATGCTACCTGAGAGGGAAACATTTGGAGAGAAATGAAATATTATTTCTGGGCTGATTGGCAACCTATCCATTTCGCTGGGTAAACCACGTGAAAAGAAAAATAGGGGCCGGGCGCGGTGGCTCACGCCTGTAATCCCAGCACTTTGGGAGGCCGAGACGGGCGGATCACGAGGTCAGGAGATCGAGACCATCCTGGCTAACACGGTGAAACCCCGTCTCTACTAAAAATACAAAAATTAGCCGGGCATGGTGGCGCGCGCCTGTAGTCCCAGCTACACGGGAGGCTGAGGCAGGAGAATGGCGTGAACCCGGGAGGCGGAGCTTGCAGTGAGTCGAGATCGCTCCACTGCACTCCAGCCTGGGCGACAGAGCGAAACTCCGTCTCAAAAAAAAAAAAAAAAAGAAAAAAAAAAAGAAAAATAGGCCAAATTGCCACAAACTGGAGGCCTGTGGGTAAGTTTGCTTTATTTGACTCATTCTAGCGAGGATGGTGTTTTTACGTTCTTAATTCATTGGAAATGTTTTAATATTGGAAGATTTCACATAAATATGTGAATTTCTTGCTTCTAAAAGAGTCAGAAATAGTAACAATCAACTCGAGCTGCTTATCCAATGTCCCCTTTAGCCAGGCCGTATGCTCTCTAGTGTGACACAGTCCCTGTCATTCTCTGCTGTGAAATTGTGTCAGCTGACTTCTATCATTGTACTTCTTCTATTTTTCTTCCTGTTATAGATTTAGAACAACACACTATAGTTTCTCTTACATCCAAACCTCCCTTTCAGAAGTAAGAAGATGACAGATTGATGAAAACAGTAATCAGTTTCAAGAAAAATTAGACACTTTATTTCTTAGTGGAAGTCATGAAAATGCCTACATATTTAAATATGTTCAGTTAACATGACCTGATTTTATGCCTGGCATACAGAGAGGTGGGAGGATTGCTTGAGTCTGGGAGGTCAAGGCTGCAATGAGCTGTGATTGCCCCACTGCACTTCAACCTGGGCAACAGAGTGATACCTTTTCTCAAACAAACAAACAAAAAACAAAAACAAAGTAAAACAACAACAGAAAAAAACTGGTTACATAATACCTAAAGGCATTTCCATTGTACCATATACGCAGAAACATACATATGATGTTTTATATGTACTTGATGTATTTGATTTTATTTACCAAAAATGTAATGTATTTTATTTTATTGTGTGTCTTTGATTTAATGTAATGTATGTATTTGATTTTATTTATCAAAAAATATATACTTTGTATTAACATGTTGCTTTACTTTAAATATCCTGGGACAATCAAGAAAAGAACAAATGATAATATTTCCAAGAGAAATTTTTAAAAATAAGAGAGAAAAAGAAATTATCTCAAAAACTCAAAATTCAACTAACTTCCAAAAAATGATGAGCACATAATTTTCTTTAAAGTTTACCTGAAACTTTTTTAATCATATAAAAATATTACAGCTTAAAGTGGGGAAACATGCATATATGTTTATAAACACACTCACATTGGCTATTTAACAATTACAGTAGTAGAATGCACTAGAGGCTTAGCAACGTATGGTTTTCATGATATAATTAAAATTTATTAACATGAGTTTGAGTATGAACTCTGTAACAAAGATCAAACCTGGCTAAATAGCTATAATAATTCATGTCAACAAAAGACAACTTTTAAAGTTAGAAAGAATTGCTCAACAGAGTGACCTGGATAGAGAAGTTACACGTCATCTTGACAAGTTAATGCTTTTGTAACACGTATGTTAATCAACTAGCCTCATAGAATAGAAAAGATAGCCATACTATAGCGGACAGAAAACAAAAGTGGGAAAATAGGCCGGGATGTAAATAAAGTAAGCTCCTGGCCAGATGTGGTGGCTCACACCTGTAATCTCAACACTTTGAAATGCCAAGGCATGAGGATCCCTTGAGCTCAGGAGTTTAAGACCATTCTGGCCAACATAACAAAACCTCACCTCCACTGAAAATCAGAAAAATTACCCAGGCATGGTGGCACAACCTGTAGTCGCAGCTACTTGGGAGGCTGAGGTGGGAAGATAGCTTGAGCCAGGGAGATTGAGGCTGCAGTGAGCTGTGTTCATGCCACTGCACTCTAGCCTGGGCAATAGAGTAAGACTCCGTCTCAAAAAAAAAAAAAAAAAAAAAAGGCTGGGCACAGGGGCCTGTAATCCCAACACTTTGGGAGGCTGAGGCGGGCAGATCATGAGGTCAAGAGATGAAGACCATCCTGGCCAACATGGTGAAACCCTGTCTCTACTGAAAATACAAACATTAGCTGGGCGTGGTGGTGGGTGCCTGGAATTTCAGCTACTTGAGAGGCTGAGGCAGGAGAATCGCTTGAACCCGGGAAGCAGAGGTTGCAGTGAGCCGAGACCATGCCACTGCACTCCAGGCTGGTGACAGAGCAAGACTCCATCTCAAAAAAAAAAAAGGTAAGCTTCAATTAGGAGGAAATTCTGTATTTAATTAAAAGTAGGAACCAAACATTTATGGAGTCCCTGTTGCAAGCAAGACACTGAGCTTGTCACCCTACATTTATTAACTCATTTCAGCTCCTTAATCCACCTGTGATTAGCTATTTTCTCCATAATCCTCTCATACACTAAAAAGGAAGGCTCAAAATACTTAGAAAGAGGGTGAAAACAAAATAACCCTAAAATCCATAAGAAAACACAACACACAGTAACATTACCACAGAAAATATAAACAACATCAGTTTCTCATTCTGTTTATCTCTGACCAAACTTGTATAAATACTTCTCCCCAGAGCTGACTGACTCCAGAGCAAGGGGCTGGTCAGGTGAAAGGCAATGTCTGAAGCATGAAGAACCACCCTTCCTGCCCCTATTCTTTTTAACTATATAATTTTCCAGTGGTGTGATTCAAAGTGCAGTAAAACCTCAGTAACGACACTAGAGTCCTTAATTAACTGCTTTTTTCTTACAATTTTCGGAGACTGTGGCAGATCACACACACAAAATAATTGTATGTTAGATTTAATTAAACAAATGCACACTTTTTTTTTTTTTTTTGAGACAGAGTCTCACTCTGTCGCCCAGGCTGGAGTGCAGTGGCACATCTCTGCTCACTGCAAGCTCCGCCTCCCGGGTTCTGCCATTCTCCTGCCTCAGCCTCCCAGGTAGCTGGGACTACAGGCGCCCGCCACCACGCCTGGCTAATTTTTTTGTATTTTTTTAGTGGAGACAGGGTTTCACGGTGTTAGCCAGGGTGGTCTCGATCTCTTGATCTCGTGATCTGCCCGCCTCGGCCTCCCAAAGAGCGTGGGTTCAGGATAAATTTAGCCTCAAACCGTGTGAACCCTGTACCTTCAAATTTGTGCAGCAAAAAATTGAACTTCAGAGTAAGGCTAGCAGGCAGTATAGCCTACGTCCTAGAATAAGAAAGGCCTGTGTTCAAATCCTGACTTTTCCGCTTGCTAAATTATCAGACTTCAGTGCATTCACCTGCGTAAAATGGGAATAATAATAACAACAGTATCTACTCTATAGGGTCATTGTGATAATTAAATGACATGATCTATACCAAGCACGTAGGAGGCATGCATTATAATATCATCAATTTAGTTTTACTATCTTAACTCTTTTAAAGCACTCATGCAGTGTGTGGATGTGCGTGTGTGTGTGTGTGTGTGTGTGTATGTGTGTGCTAGAAATCTTTTGGTAATAAAGTCAACCCAATACAGATTTTGTGAATGACTATATTCTAACCTAAAAATGCAATTAATTCTAATACCATGTTACACAATTCTTTCCTTTTAACAGAGAATATTTTTTTTCTTTACTGGGAAGCATGTGCCGTGATGAAAAAAGAAGCTATTTGAGCATTGATGAGTCCAGGTTAAAACTGTAGCTGTCACTCATTAACTAGCAATTTCAAGTCACAACTTTCCTGTTCTCAGTTTTCTCATACTTTGCATAGTCTTTGGTATGAAGATTAACGGAGCTACTTGACACAGACTGGGCCCCAAAGAAATAGTAGCTTTTATCATTATTATTATTGTTATTCAATCTTCACCTTCTTATTATAGGGCTCAACATTTAATTTGTATCATAACCAAGACTGAACATTAAAAATGTGTGAAGCATATTTTAAAATCCTTTAATAGAATATGTCTTCATCTTACTACCAATTGTTGTGACTTAAGAGATCAGCTTAATTAATTAGAGAGATAAATGCTGTATAATTTGCCAAATTATTGGCATTTGTTGAGCCACATGGCCTCTTCCCTCGCCTAATAGAAATGTTAACTGATTGTTTTCATAAGGAACATGGGACATTGAAAATGTTTCAGAAAATCTCTGTTGTCACAGGTTGACACTATGGAGTCTTGGAACCCTTCCTGATACATTTCCATGAGAAGCAAATACAAGAATTATTTTTCCTTTTGGATCATGCTCAGACATGAAGGTAATTCAAAGCATGATAGATATATTTTTCACCTAGATTTTTAAATGACAATAACATATTTGGGTATAAAGGATACAAAGTCAATATTATATTAGTTTGGCTATTTCAGAAAGAACCAAAAAAGCCTGCAGTGACCTCCAGCAATAATAGATTTTTTAAATCGACAGCTGGTTAACATTATCAGAATGAATCATGGAGCAGAAGTGACAGCTGGATTCCAGCCAGGGAGGCCAAAAGATACCAAAGGTAATTTCTGTGTTTTTAAAGGAGAATTTTTTTTTAGTGCCTCTGACCTGGTGCTACATACATCTTAATTTAAGGGGACAGGTAGTGTGATAAAAAAACAAAGTACAATTATAGCTAAAACCCAAAGGATCTGAACAAATACAAGTGTCTTAAAAGCAGTATATTTTGCAACTAGAGCAAGGCCTCCACTCTGCCCAAGAACTCCTGGCTAAATGCTGGAAATACCTACTGTTCTATTTAGAGCAGTTTAACGTTTTTTTTAAATAAGGAATAAACTGTATCTGTTTTTATGGTCAAGTTAAAACAAGACTCCTACCTGTAAGCTTGACAGGTAAAGCCACACCAATCTTTTCAGCTTTAAAACAAGAAAAAAAAAATCTGTTTCATGCTTCTCAGCCTAGACAACACAAGTTATGTAGGTTTTTTCCCTTCAGATTTAGTGTAAATGTCCCCACCTGACACACGCAAAACCAAACTATCAAACAGAATGATGACGCCGATGTGCAACACCTGTACTTTCAGGGCCTCCAACAAAGGAAGACAGAAATTTCTCCATACACACCTGCTGGGTGGGTGGATGCCTTTAACCTCTTCTTCTCCTGATGGGTCCCCACAAGGCAGAAATGGAAAAGAGTACTTGTCAGAGAGGCACTAAGAAGGACAGGCAAACCAAACTGCCCTATATTACAAGATTTAAATGTTTAATTATAGAATATATCTGGCAACATGCTGGGAAGGAAACTTTATATTAATCAAAACGAAAAACAAAAAAAAAAACAGAATTCACAATTTCTCCTAGCCAAACTGGAAAAAAAAAAAAGTAGGTTTCTAAAAACACCAAAAGAAGACAAGTTATTATTTAAAGCAAACTAAACTTATGACATTTTGTAGCATGTATGGTGTATTAGGTCATTCTCACACTGTTATAAAGAATTGCCCAACACTAGGTAATTTATAAAGGAAAGAAGTTTAATTGACTCACAGCTCCACAAGGCTGGGGAGGCCTCAGGAAACTTAAAATCATGGCCGAAGGGGAAGCAGGCACCTCTTACATGGCAGCAGGTGAGAGAGCTTGTGAGAGAATGCAGGAAAAACTACCGTGTATAAAACCATTAGATCTTGTGAAAATTCACTCACTATCACATACAAGCAAGTTCACATACCAAAATAGCATGGGGTAAACCACCCCATCATCCAGTGACTTCCCTCCCTTAACATGTGGGGATTACAATTCAAGTTGAGATTTGGGTGGGGACACAGAGCCTAATCAATTCATTTGGTAAGCAGTTCTTATTACTAGAAAATTTATCAAGCGTAAATACAGCATATATATCTCCGAAAAAAATACTTTTGAAAGACAAAGACATGTCATTTATAGAGCTTAAATATTTGCATACTTAATGTGGTACCTTATGTATTCAGACTACTTTTTAAATAATATATAATTGTTTTAATCTACTTTTTTAAAAACGAGTTAATAAATAGATGAATCATGACAAAATGAACAAATATACTATCTTTTTGGGAAAATGTTTAATCAAACTATTTAAAGTACAAGACAAATTTTAAAATCTAATAATTTACAACTTGAAGTACCACATTATAGAAAAATGAAAATTTTCCACTTTACAACACCATTTGAAAGAACAGTATGCATAATAGGTAATATAGTACTGAGACTTTGTATATGTTAAGACAATTGGAACTTAATTACACTTAAAGATAGTTTCAAACACTGGATTAAATTCCTATGTCATCAAACGATGTCTTTTAAGTATCTTTATTTATAAAACAGTTGTCTTCAATTACTACATATATGGTATAGCTAACTGGTTTTTACAAAACAAGATTTTTGTCAAACATTAATAGTTTGTATAAAGAGAAATCATTTATTTCACTGATAAAAAATAGGAATACTCAAGTACACCACCCTCATTTGTTACACTGCAATCTGTTTCAAGGCTTGAGGGGTGGAAACTCAAAGGTTGTGTGTATTTCAAGTGTTAGATGTGGGCAGAAACAGAATCCCTTTGGAGTTTCTGGAAGATGAAAGCATGAACAACTTTCTTTCATGCTCTTTTCTCATCAGAGATAGAACAGATTTGCAAAGTTACCACCTAGCCAAATACTATTCTAAGCTCTGGAATTCTTCCCAAAACTTACAAGTGGGTAATTTTTTAATTCAAATAAAGTGACTTAGTCATTTGTGTGATATCACCATTTAAGAGAGGAAGTCCTCATACCAAACAAAAGCATTATTTTAACAACCCATATTTCAGTGGCCACCCTTCTAACCCGTGACTGAACTTTGGCAGTAGTTAATATTCAAATCGGACTGTCCACTACCTATAAATGAAGCTACAAAGGGTTGACAGTGTGAGGATCAGGTTGGAGCAGGCTAATAGGTTTTAGTGCCTGAAACTTTTGATAATCTGGCTTTAAGTGTCATGGGTCTTTCAAGGTGGATTCCATCTGTCCTATAAAGTTATGTATTGAAACATAATGCATCCCTTTGATCTCCTTTGTAAAAACCCTAAGAAGTCAACAAAATGCCCCCATTGACTCAACAGCCAGATCCCCAACCTGTTGACATGAAAGATTTTAACTGTTGTGTTTGTGAACAGTAAGTGAGCTATGTGTTGAAAGTCTCTCAATAAAAAGGCACAGAGATGGGCTGAGTCTTGATATAGGTACAGGCTGTCCTACTGATATTTTGTACCAAAATAAAACAAAAGAGTGCAGCTCACACAAGGATTAGGCCTGATAATGTCCATTACATAAGTTTCCAAAGTCATTCTTCAATAATGTATTTATCTTGAAAAGCATAATAAATTTGAGTTTCAAATCACTTACGTTAGTGAACAAAAATATTCCAACAACATAGATGTATACCATGGTAAATAACACAAATAAGATATACATGTGTATATTTATGTATTTATTTATATGTATATATGTTTATAATACAAGTATTATAACAC
The DNA here is from genome assembly GCF_000001405.40 of Homo sapiens. Lineage (NCBI taxonomy): Eukaryota > Metazoa > Chordata > Mammalia > Primates > Hominidae > Homo > Homo sapiens. The sequence continues at coordinate 16,910,367 of NC_000008.11, forward strand.
AAGTAGATATGTACAGTGTATACCCAAGACAGACACATAGAGGAAACTAGACAATGAAAATTGCATTGATTTTTGTAGTCAGAAAGACCAAGTCTAAATATTGGTTGCTACTACTGAGTGACTTTGAACATTTTTCTTATCTTTACAAATGAATAGGTACTAATACCCACTTAAACTGACTGTTTGGATTAATTGAGATCAGTTATATTAAGCACTTGGCAAATAGTAGCAATCAACATATACTGTTTATCTTTTCCTTCTCCATATCAGCATCATACCCATATGTAAGTCTCAGTTTTATTCAATATTAGAATTTAATGAGCCTCCTGCATCAGTATTAACATATGCCCTCATGTTCTTGCATCATGGAACACAGATTCAAGGGGCTCTTTTTGAATAGTAAGGAAATTGTGGTCTGTCTGAAGTCTGCAATTCCCTGTTGATGTTATCTCCTAACAAGGGAAAATCTTGTCCAACCTTCAACACTCAGCTCAGGTGTCACCTACTCTGTGACAACTCTCACAGTCCTGCTGGACAACAATAATGAACTATTCTTTTCTCTGCTCTCCAAAATCTTGGTGTATGCCATTATCATAATACTTATTAAATTGTAAGTAATTTAATTTAACTAAATTGTAATTAGTTCTTGTCCAGCCAGCTTCCTCTAAGAGAAATTGAGTTCCATGAGATCAGATCTATATCTTAGTCTTCGTGAACCCCCTGGCGTGCAGCTCAGAGCCTGGAAGATATCAAACACACAACAAAAAAGGGAGAAGGAAGGGGAAAAGGAAGCCAGAAGTAGTATTTGCCCATTTTTCTTACATTATGTCTATGATCACCTACTCAACAATGAGTAAGACTTAAACATAAATAAACAATGGCCATTAACCTAAAGAATCAAATAGTTTTAAGTCCTTCTCAAATCTTGGGACTATCACTCAATATTATTTCAGCGTCTTACTCCTCAGCCACCTCAAAGATATGCTGATTTTCTAACACCATCTAGCCAAGCATCTGACAGATGGCTCTGAGATCCACACTGTCTTTATGTGTGTAAACCAACAAATGTTCCACCCAGTGGCATATGTGTTCACATATTATCAATGCTAGATGCTTCAAGCTTGCAAACAGAGCCCTACTGAGGAAATGTACATCTCTTGTGGATTTATCTAAACACATAAGCCTTTTATTTAATTTGAAATTAGTAATCATGTATAGCTGACCATTTACAGATTTAATCCCTTTATGCATATTTTGCCTTATCTTCCACAGTGAATGCCACCAAAGTGATCTGCCTAAAGCTCAAATCTGATCATGTCAGTTTCATACCAAAATTTCTATATCACCAATGATAAAATCTAAACTAAATCTGAACCAATCGTAAGCAAACTACCTTCCACTTGCCAAATGTGCCATGCTCGCTTGTGTCTCTACTCCTTTTCAAATATTGTCCCACGTCCTAAAATATCATTTTCATGCCTTTCGTATTAAAAAAATAATTTCCCTTTCTCTTGGTTTCAGATACATTCTCAGCTACTCTGAAAAACCTGTAACACTTTCTCCCCTTACCCACTGACGACCTGAGTACCCATCCACTCTTCTGCTGGGACAGGAAGGGCAGAATGTAGGTGCATATACCATGCCTCATAAGACTGCCCTATAATTATCTTTATACGTAACATGTGTGCATCACAAGGTCATATGCTATTTGAGAATAGAAACTGAGTTTTGTTCATCAGTTGTATACTCAGAGCCTGGAACACTGCATGTGCCTAATTATTTGTTAAGTAAGTGAATTATTGTGGAGATTTTGTCCATAAAGAGTTTATAGTAACTTTATACAGATACACATGTAATCACAAAGTTTAAATAAAACACTACAAGATATAATTGAAACTTTGGGGATCAGGACTAAGAAAGTTAGCAGAGTAGAGTGGGCTTAGTCACATACAAAAGGATGCTTGAAATTATGTCAGATTATTTATTTCATTGAGATCAAGTCAACTTGAAACTTTTACATAACCCCCTTACTAGCCAAGAGTTCCTTGAGACTACCAGACAATATAAGAGTAGTCACAAGTACACATTTCAATGCAATGCATTTTTAACATCATAGCACTAGGAAAATTTCAGGGCCAGGCATGGCAGCTTACATCTGTAATCCCAGCACTTTGGGAGTCTGAGGCAGGAGGATTGCTTGAAGCCAGGAGTTTGAGACCAGCCTGGGCAACATAGCAAGACCTCATCTCTACAAAAAATACTCCACCTCTTCAAAAAAAAAAAAAAATTTAAATAGACAGGCACAGTGGCACATGCCTGTACTCCCAGCTACTCAGGAGGCTGAAGTGGGAGGATCACTTGAGCCCAAGGGTTCAAGGCTGCAGTGAGCTATGATAGTGCACTGCACTCCAGCCTGGGCACCAGAACAAAACCCTGTCTCAAAAATAAATTAATTAATTAATTAATTTAATTAAAGTATAACAAATAAATGTTAATTTTCTAAAGCCCAGAGCAGTAAGACACTGGAATAAGCGCAAGAGTAGACAACAAATGGTTCTTCCCCAAGAACGTGGGGCTCTGGGCTGCTGCTGGCAGTGCCAGAAAAGCACATCCTCCTCTGACTCTCTGGAAAACCCAGAGCAGCAGCTTTCAGAACAGTGGGAGTGCTGAGATGCACAGGAACAAAGGCTGGCACGTAAACCATTCCCCCCAGTTCTGCCTAAGAGGTGTTTTCTAAGCCTGGATCCATGCCATCAAGCTACATCACCCAGCCTCAGAATTCTAAGATTAGATAATGCACTAGATTGTTATTTTGTCACAAATGAGATATGATAAATGCTTGACATTTTTGCCTCCCCAGAAACAGATCAGCTACCCCAGAAAGGAAGCAAGGCCTTGGCTCTCTCTGTAGAAAGGGAAAGAGAGACAGAGATTTCAGGAGACAGGCCATGAGCAAGGAACTTGGGCCTGCTTGATTTGTTACTCCTGAGACCTTGTATCTTTAGGAGTGATGGAAGAAAACAAGTAGCTAGCTGAAGATTATTCAGAGAATAAAAAGCAGAGTATAAAGTCCAGCAGTGCACTTGCAGTATTGTTAACTGAAGTATTCTAATTATCCTAGTGGCTTGATTTGGACATTGGGATTCTAGATTTTTCCTCCTATCTATGCTTTTGTCATAGATAGATAGATAGATAGATAGATAGATAGATAGATAGATAGATGATAGATAGATAGGTAGATAGATAGATAGATGATAGATAGATAGATAGATAGATAGATAGATAGATAGATAGATATGATTTGTCATTTTCTAAGTTCTTGTGTTTCCTGACTTTACATTTTTTGGTTGAGTGTCAAGATCTCTAGGGCAGCCATCATCTCTACTTGTCTTGTATTATTGCTAAAGAAAAATCAAATCTCTGTGTCCATGGCTATTGAAGAGTCTACGGCATAACAAAAATTGATAAATAGGAATAAACTATTCATCATCTAGTCAAGCCCCCTCATCTATCAAACGAAGGAATTGAAACTCATGGAAGCTAAGTTACTTGTTCAAGGTCATTGTATTCACTAAATGGAGTAGCTGGAGGTTGAGTCTTAGCCAGTGATCACACTTTCCACGACACCTTGCTGATTCTGCTGCCTCCTGCCAGGTTAGCAAGACTCTTACGGTAGGGATTGTTTCTGTTCTAAATTGTTGTAATTAAAGAAGCTGTGCCCCCCATTAGCTCACCTTCAATGTGTCCCAGCCCTTCTTACTTCACATGTGTATTATTTTCTGACATGGGTGTATGGAAGCAGAAGAAGAGATCATATGTGAACATACGCTGTGCTCATCACCGGAATTCAGATATGTCTAGTTATACTAAAGCATTTTTTGGCACAAATAAAAACTGTCATCGGTTCTATTTATTCAACAATTATTTACTGAACGTTTATTATGAACTAAGAACGGTGTGACAGGCAATGAAGATGCAATAAGCAAAAAAGACTTTGTTTCAGCTCTGTAAAATTTACAGTCTAATGTGAGAGAGCCACACACAAATAAGAACATGCAAAAAATCCTTATTTTGCTCAATGTGGTGATAAATGCCCAGAGTTGGAGATTAGGTTTAACAAGGAAGTTACATTTTAAGTCAAACACTAAGGAGAAATAGGCATTTTGCTGCTAGACAGGAACATTTATAGAACTGTGCTAAGGAGGAAGTCCATTGTTTGGAACAAAAATTTCCTTATTCCCTGGTAACTGGCCAATACCATTATTCTATGTTGGTGATTACGCACTGCCTAGGGCTAATTCTAGTTGTTGGTGATGAATTCAATAGTATTCTGTTTCCTCATTAAACATATGGGTTATTTGTTCACTTTAGACTGTCTCTGTGAAATTTAGCCTTTTAACCACATCGCATCAATAAGGATTAGACCAACCCTGAGGTCCACAAGGACGAGCAAATTCTACAGCTCTTCTTTTTCCATGCTCTGGTTCAGAAATGGGTCACACATATTCAATGCTCTTTAACTATTTGTTGAAATCGGAAAGATTCAATTACCTTCTGACTCAGTCCTTTTTTGAGTTTGCAGCCAGCCTTCATAGTCACTCATGTCCTTGACAAGGGATGGTTCTCATCTATCTGGGAGGGTTAAACACTTCGACCAAATGAACAATCTGGGGAGGAATGAACAGAAGATTTGAACAGGGAAGAGGATACCTGACAACATCTATAGTGAGTTTCTGCTTGTTTCGAGTTATTATATACTCTAAAATATATGCTGGTATTGAAACAGAAAAAAGAAATACACTATCTGAAGGTAAATTTCAAATGATTTGAAAAAGACAAAAATTTCTAACAGCAAAAGGTCATGAAAGATAATAAGCATCTATAACAACTTTTTGCTTTGACTTGTATATTAATTACTTGAAGGGAACAATATAATACATGACTCACATTTTTCCGACAGAAATGTCAACTGAGAAACTTCCAAAAAGCTATCGATAGATTGCTATTACTTCTGGGAATATAAAAATAAAATGGTTTTATTTTTTGTTTTCATATTATAAAATGATTTAATTAGTATTTCATTCCGGAAGCAAAGTCAAGACCAACAACATTGTAAGGGACAACTCAGTTATACAAGCAGAGTCTTTTCGGTTACTTAGAGCAGTGTTTCTGCCACTCATATAATACTGTAGATTATTATAATTCTCTAATGCAGTCTTCAGGCATGAGACAGAAGACAGGAAGAACAGAATTGAGATTTCAACCACTCAGGGAGGCAAAATGATTTATAGAGGAAGAAGGAAGAGAGAAACAATTTAGGTCAGTTGAAATACTGACCCAGAGGCTCCCTAAGGGTTTGTCATACTATGAGGGGCACCAATTAAAATAACAATGATCTGGAATTATATACCAATGTTTTCTTAGTAAATTTAGTTTTAGATACTTGATAAAAAATAATTGGAAGAGGCTGGGCATGGTGGCTTCCACCCGTAATCCTAACGGTTTGGGAGGCCAAGGTAGGAGGATCACTTGAGCCCAGGAGTTCGAGACTAGTCTGGGCAAGATAATGAGACCCTGACTCTACAAATATTTAAAAAATAGCAGGGTGTAGTGGTACGCACCTGTGGTTCCAGCTACTCAAGAGGCTGAGATGAGAGGATCGTTTGAGCCCAGGAAGTGAAAGCTGCAGTGAGCCATGATTGTGCCACTGCACTCCACCCTTGGCAACAGAGTGAGACTCTGTATCAAAAAAAAAAAAAAAAAGAAAGAAAGAAAAGGAAAAAAAAAAAAAAGAAACCCCCCCAAAAGAAAAATAGATTAAAAAAGAAAAAGAATTGAAGGGAATGGATTTATTAAAATGCAATTAAGTAGCAATTTGTGTTTTGTATAGAATTTTAGCCAGGTTGCTGAATTTTAACTTTGTATCTGATGCCATTCAATCACTAAAGGTTAGGGAATTTTCTATTAAATTAATTTTGAAGAATAAACAAGCCAAAGGCCTTAACATTATTATTTTGGATTATCTTAATAAAAAATAATGACATGGTTTTGTGGTTTATACATAAAGGTGACTTTTTAAGATATCAATTCCTAATTCAAGATTACATATGTTCTACACATACACAGTTTAAGTTAAAAAAATTCAAAAAGTAGAGAAAACTCCTTTTTTAGCAATCATAAAAAACACCAGGAAAAATGAATTAAGGTGGTCTGTGAAATTGCCAACATACTGTGGTTAATTTTTTAGCCCATGAGAGACTCTCATATATTCCCATAATACATTAAGTGATAGGTATTGGATCCATAGGAATTAAATATAATTGCTTTAATTTTTAAAATTTTTTTAGAGACAGACTCTCGCTCTGTTATGCAGGCTGGAGTGCAGTGGTACAATCATAACTCACTGCAGCCTCCAACTCCTGGGCTCAAGCAATCCTCCTGTCTTGATCTTCCAAAGTACCAGGATTACAGGCATTAGCCACTATGACTGATCTAAATTTTTATATGATATTTTAAGTTATGAACGAGTCTTCATTTAGTTGATCCAGAATGTTGCTGCATACTCAATCAAGGTCATGAAATAGACTCTGCCCCCTCAGTATCTTCCTTTGTCACAACGTTCTCAAAGTTTAACCATATCTATAGACCTGCAAGATATTTCATGCAAAGTTGGCTTCTGAATAAAATCAGTTGTGGTCTACTACCTCTAAAAGTCCAGCCCCAGGTGAGCTTTAGATTCCCAGGTGTAGAGAACAAAATACAGTTCTTCACTTTCGCTTTCTTACATCTCCTGCAAATCTTCCCTGGAGGCTCCATTTTATGGTTAAGAAATTCCCCGTGTTTCAGGTCAGTACAAGGTCAAACTAGAGGTTTATTTTGTAAACAAAAGTGTGACCCATAAAATGATTTGTTTCATTTTCTTGTGCAAATGTTATTTGAAGTAGAGATAATACATTTGTAATTGATATAATCTTTTACTCTGCATCAGCTTTGTACATTGGGTGCTTTCAGACTTCAAGAGAACTGTTTGCATGCTTCTACTTGCATGCTTTCAAAGATCTGGATCTGAATTTGCAAGTTAACATTCCCTTCAAGGCTATAGAAACAGCAGAAGAAAATGAAATTTATGTAATTTATATTTACCTCATTAGATGGCAGCATGCATCCGAAACCAAAGTTAATAATTTGGTGGGAGATATGATATCTCTTAGAAGTTGCAAAAGAAAAATCAAATATGCTAAAAATAGGGATTTATGTGCAATTTCTCTGTGTTTTTAATGTATCCATCTAAACTCAGATATAATTTTTGAAAACATTTAACATCACACAAAATTTCATTCAGGTTCATTCATTCATTCATTCAAAAAAAAAATGTATTGAGCCCTGACTCAGCGTCACATCCTTCATTTCTAGATACTTCAGTTACACGTGTGATCAGAACAAAGATCCTTGCCTGCCTGGAGCTTACATTCCAAAGGTAGAGGACATTTAAAATGCAATGGAAGTAATATATTAGTAAATGATCTGGTATGTTAGAAAGTAATGAATGCATATAGAGAAAATAATGTAGAATAGGATAAAGAGAGAATGAGGAGTGCTGAGGTAGGAAGTCAAAATGTAACATTAGATAGGAAAATCAGCGTAGGTCTCAGTGAAAAAAAAATGACCTTGAGCAAAGACTGGAAGGAGGTGAGGGAATTTGTCAGGTAGAAAACTGGAGGAAGATTGCTCCAGGCAGGGGAAATAGCTAAGCAAAAGGCTAGGATATTGCTGAAATAAAGTGAAAATGGCTAGATGAATAAGAAAGGAAACCAAAGAGGGGAACATGTGGGAAGAGAAAGCAGATAATATAGGGCTGATATGGTTTGGCTGTGTCCCCACCCAAATCTCATCTTGATTTGCTCCCATAAGTCCCACATGTCATGGGAAGGATCCAATGGGAGGTAATTGAATTAAGGCGGGGGGGTAGGTCTTTCTCATGCTGTTCTTGTGATAGTGAATAAGTCTCACGAGATCTGATGGCTTTATAAAGGGGAGTTCCCCTGCACACGCTCTCTTGCCTGCCCCTATGTAAGACATGACTTTGCTGTTCATTCACCTTCCGCCATGATTGTGAGCCTCCCCAGCCATGTGGAACTGTGAGTCAATTAAACCTCTTTCCTTTATAAATTACCCAGTCTTCAGTATGTCTTTATTATCAGTGTGAGAACAGACTGATACAAGGGCCTCTAGAGCTATCGTAAGAACCTTGGCTTTTACTATGAGTAAAATGGGAACACATTGCAGGGTGCAGGGTTTTGAACAGAGAAGTCATCCTATCTCAAACAGGTTTTAAAAGCATCACTCTGGCTGCTGTATTGAGAATTGAGCAGCCAGAAATTGGGGGTAGGGGTAAAAGCAGGGAGACCAGTTAGGAGGCCATTGGATCACCCATGCAATGATGACAGTGGCTTGGACCAGAATTACCGCAGTGGAGGTGGTAAGAACAGGACAGCCTCTACATATAATCTGAAGATAGAACTGACGGGGTTCTAGACAGGTTGCATTGAAGATGCGAGAAAATGAAGGAAGTGAAAAATGAATCCAAGGTTTTTGGCCTGAACAACTGGCAGGATGGAATTATCATTAAATGAGAAGACAGAGGCTATGGGTAAAATAAGTTTGAGGGGGAAGAGTAGTTTTGAACATGTCAAGTTTAAGATTAAACAGCAAAAAGGAATGTCAATAGGGCATTTGGATATTTTAGTCTGGGGTTCAGCGAGAAGATCCAGGTTAGATATATGTAACTGGGAGTCGCCAGCTTATTTGTGAAATTTAAAGCCATAAGACTGGATGAGATCATCAAGGGTGGAGTGTAGAGAAAGAAAAGAAGATAATCAAGATCTGAGCATTGGGGCATTCAAAAATTAAAAAGTTAAGGAGGAGCTACCAGCAGAGGAGATGAAGAAGGAAGCGTAAGTGACACTGGAGAAACCCAAGGGAGCATCGATATCTAATGTCGATGCAAGAAAGAAAATGTTCTGGTAACTGATCTGAGAAGTGGAATCAAGGAAAGTTTATAAGTTTTGTTATTAAGATGGGGAAATGACAGCATGCTTGTGTGCTAGTTGGCATGACCCAGTAGAGAGAAAAAAAATATGCAGGAGAGAGAGGGGAGAATTGCTGAAGCAATGCCCTTCAGCAGATGAGAGAGAATAGGATCTAACATAGGAGCAAAGGGATTAATCTTAGATAGCAATGCAAATAGTTGAAAAAGGAGAAAAACAGAGTATCCAGGTGAAGATGCTAACAGGTGAAAAAGGTGTCTAAGAGAAAGTGGGACAGTGAATGCACTAGGGAAATACAGTGTGATTGCCTAGCATTAAGAGACCACCTGAGGTTCGTGATCATGAATCTAAAAGCAAGACGACAGTCAATGTGGTCCAGTGTCTTTCTCCAGCCACATTCAGCTTCCAAGGTGCAGACAGAGAGTAGGCAGAGTTGGATGTAACCAAGACTGGGATTTTGGCAAGGGAGTACAAGTTCAACAAAGCAAGAGGGGGCAATGAAGTCATCATAATGATTGGCCATGAAGTACAAGTCAAGTAAGAAGAGGAGTAAGGACATGAAGGGTATTAAAAGGATGGTAGGATGAACGGACGGCAGGCACCAGTGGGGCTGGGAGATCATTGTGTACGGGACACTGACAGTGGAATGGAAAGACCACAGTGGTGATTACCACATGGGATGCATGGAATTGAAATTATAGAGAAGTTACAGTTATTGTAAAGTGTTGCTGAGGATATGAGGGACAGAGGCAGGGTTTGATAATTATTAATATATGTGTTGCTGTCTGTGGTCTTCATCATTTTGGAAACACTTTCCTTATTATTTGAAATGCCTCTAGACTGTTCGTATATAGCAGCTAGGATTAATATTTTATTCATTCTTCATAAAATCTCTTTCAATCTCACCTCAGTAGGTTGATTTTTGGTAATGAATTAACTACGAAGAGAGAGTAAATTTCTTTCCTTTTTTTTTTCAGACTGAGTCTCGCTCTTTCTCCCAGGCTGGAGTGCTGGGGCGGGATCTCGACTCACTGCAAGCTCCGCCTCCCGGGTTCACGCCATTCTCCTGCCTCAGCCTCCTCCCGAGTAGCTGGGACTACAGGCGCCCGCTACGACGCCCGGCTAATTTTTTGTATTTTCAGTAGAGACGGGGTTTCACCATGTTGGCCAGGATGGTCTCGATTTCTTGACCTCGTGATCCACCCGCCTCGACCTCCCAAAGTGCTGGGATTACAAGCGTGAGCCACCGTGCCCGGCCGAGAGAGTAAATTTCAACTGTGCTATTTTATCTACATTACCTACTTCTTTCTAGTGCACTAGTTAGATCACTGGTTTCTGTCATATCATTATTGTTTCACATTGTGTGGTCCACATGGAATTAGGTGACTAGCTTTAATCACAGCTGTCAATACTTCCCATCAACTTGTATCCTGATATTATTAATGAATGACATTTCAGCATCCTATGATACAGTATCTATTACTGGTTCTTGAAATTCCTGCTTTTCTAAGTTTACCTGTTGTTTGTTCTAAAACATACTGTGGCTCTGAGAAGCCACATACAACTTTATTTTTGAGGGTTTTTTTGTAGGTGCTTCCTCTCATTTAAAGATTTCAGAACAGAGGGATGCTTTAAATGCTATTTTATTGATACAAAACACTAAGAGGCCTCCGATTTTGGTATCTATTAATTATGTATTTTAAGAAGAAGATGCAGTTAACTAATCCATTATTGCTGACATTTTCATCTGGGTGCAACCTGATTTTCGTCATGTAGACCTTATTGAAGTTTAGAGAGATGGTTCTTCTTCTCCCCAGTTTCTTACAAAATTTACTTTATTTAGCAGAAGGAACCATTTTTTTTACTTTTTCTGTTTTATAGTATATTTCAGAAAACAGAATAATTATTTTACAGAATCTAACTATATATGTGCTATTGTAGTTTCCTTTTACACATAACATTACAATAAACTTATTGAGAGGAGATAATTTATTGTCCATGGATAGAATTGCTGTTTCTAAATCTAAAACCTTATTTCTTTTACCAAATATAATTTGACTTGTTGCTATTTTGCTGCACTTACATGGGCAAAGAAACTGCATTATTTAATTTCAATAAATTATTGCATACTTGTATGTCTACAAATATACAAGTATTATACATTTTATATAACTGTCCATGCATAATTGAATAACAGCATTAAAAAGAGGATATTATTTATGCCATTCCACCACTTCTGAAAAGGATTGCAAAAAAACTTTATAGTGGCAAAACAAATAACTCATTAATTTTTTTATGTGGTTTTTAAATTTTTTTAATTTTTATTATACTTTAAGTTCTGGGTTACATGTGCAGAACGTGCAGTTTTGTTACATACGTATACACGAGCCCTGGTGTTTTGCTGAACCCATCCACCCATCATCTACATTAGATATTTCTCCTAATGTTATCCCTCCCGTAGACCCCCTTCCCCCGACAGGCCCCAGTATATGATGTTCCCCTCCCTGTGTCCACATATTCTCATTGTTCAACTCCCACTTATGAGTGAGAACATGCAATGTTTGGTTTTCTGATCTTGTGATAGTTTGCTGAGAATGATGGTTTCCAGCTTCATCCATGTCCCTGCAAAGGACACAAACTCATCCTTTTTTATGGCTGCATAGTATTCCATGGGGTATATGTGCCACATTTTCTTAATCCAGTCTGTCATTGATGGATATTTGGGTTGGTGCCAAGTCTTTATTATTGTGAATAGTGCTGCAATAAACATATGTATGTATATGTCTTTATCATAGAATGATTTGTAATCCTTTGGGTATATGCCCACTAATGGGATTGCTGGGTCAAATAGTATTTCCAGTTTTAGATCCTTGAGGAATCGCCACAGTGACTTCCACAATGGTTGAACTAATTTATCTTCCTACCAACAGTGTAAAAGTGTTCCTATTTCTCCACAACCTCTCCAGCATCTGTCGTTTCCTGACTTTTTAATGATCGCCATCCTAACTGGCGTGAGATGGTATCTCACTGTGGTTTTGATTTGCATTTCTCTAATGACCAGTGATGATGAGCATTTTTTCATATGTCTGTTGGCTGCATAAATATCTTCTTTTGAAAAGTGTCTGTTCATATCCTTTGCCCATTTTTTGATGGGGTTGTTTGTTTTTATCTTGTAAATTTTTTTAAGTTCTTTCTAGATTCTGGATATTAGCCCTTAGTCAGGTGGATAGATTACAAAAATCTTCTCCCCTTCTGTAGGTTGCCTGTTCACACTGATGATAGTTTCTTTTGCTCAGCAAAAGCTCTTTAGTTTAATTAGATCCCATTTGTCAATTTTGACTTTTGTTGCCATCACTTTTGGTGTTTTAGATACGAAGTCTTTGCCCATGCCTATGTCCTGAATGGTATTGCCCAGGTTTTCTTCTAGGATTTTTACGGTCCTAGGTTTTACGTTTAAGTCTTTGGTCCATCTTGAGTTGATTTTTGTAATAGGTGTAAAGAAGGGGTCCAGTTTCAGTTTTCTTCATATGACTAGCCAGTTTTCCCAACACCATTTATTAAATAGGGAATCTTTCCCCATTGCTTGTGTGTGTCAGGTTTTCAAAGATCAGATGGTTGTAGCTGTGTGGTGTTATTTCTGAGGCCTTCATTCTGTTCCATTGGTCTATATATCTGTTTTGGTACCAATACTATGCTGTTTTGGTTGCTGTAGCCTTGTAGTGTAGTTTCAAGTCAGGTAGTGTGATGCCTCCAGCTTTGTTCTTTTGGCTTAGGATTGTCTTGACAATGCGGGCTCTTTTTTGGTTTCATAAGAACTTTAAAGTAGTTTTTTCCAATTCTGTGAAGAAAATCAGTGGTAGCTTGATGGGGATACCATTGACTCTATAAATTACTTTGGGAAGTATGGCCATTTTCATGATATTGATTCTTGTTATCCATAAGCATGGAATGTTTTTCCATTTGTTTGTGTCTTCTCTTATTTCCTTTAGCAGTGTTTTGTAGTTCTCCTTGAAGAGGTCCTTTACATCCCTTGTAAGTTGGATTCCTAGGTATTTTATTCTCTTAGCCGCAATCGTGAATGGGAGTTCACTCATGATTTGGCTCTCTGTTTGAAAAAAATATTCACAGACACTCAGAGATGGATTTCAGCATCTCACAAGCCTCATCCAGTAACTCACCTTGTTTTAATTGCCCACCAGGTATCCGCTGTATTTGGCACAGAGAAAACATAAGTAAAAGAAAACATTGCCATGTCCTAAGAAGCTCATTGTTTAGTGATGTAGACAATACTTACATAGCTCAGTTCAAAACAGAAAGATATGTGCTGAAATTGAGCCATCGATAAAATGTTGGCAAATCAAGGAGCTAGCGACTGTTTCACAGACAAAATGGCATTTAACCTGGGACTTGAAAGTTGAGTTTATTTAGGTAGGAAGGAAAAATGAGATTTTTTCAGGCATAGAAAAGTGGCAGTCTCCAACATTTTTGGCACCAGGGACTGGTTTTGTGGAACCAATTTTTCCATGAACACTGGGGATGGATGGTTTGGGGATGAAACTGTTCCACCTCACATCATCAGGCATTAGTTAGATTCTCATAAGGAGCAAACAACCTAAATGCCTCACATGTGCAGTTCATGATAAATTTCGCGCTCCTATGACAATGTAATGCCACTGCTGATCTCACAGGAGGCGGAGCTCAGGCAGTAACGCTCGCCTGCCTGCTGCTCACCTCCTGCTGTGTGGCCTGGTTCCCAACAGGTCTCAGTTGCCGCTCAGGGGTCGGGAACCTCTGCACTAACAAATGTTTTTAAAAAAATGCTTTTTCAGGAAACTGAAATAGTTTTTATATACCTGGAGTCTTGGGTGTGTGAAAGAAAGGGGATTTTTTTTTAATAAGAAACAAAAAGCATAGTTCAAGCATGCATTCAACATACATTTGTCGGCCTGCAACTTAGCCATGATTTGTAGTGGTCACTAGAGTGAAGAGCACTGATGGTGATGAAAATAGCTTATTACTATAGACAAGATGATTTAGTGAGTAAACCAACTGATTGAAGTCAGACTACTTGTGTTCGAACCCCACTTAGGCTCATTGCTAATTATATGATCTCAGCTCAGTGGCTTATCCTCCCTGAGCCTCAGCTCTTTGGTCTGGAAAATGGGGGTAGTATGATGTTTGCCTTGCAGGGTTGTCATTCAGAAATATGACATAGCCCATGTAAGGTGTTTGCTGTACCTGCCAAATATTATTATTTTGATATGCCATCATTGTGCTCAGTGCTGTATCAGGCATTGAACCTAAGTCAAAAGCAACAGCAATTTAGAGGAAAAGCTAGAATCAAGAGTCACTCCTATGGTGGAACTGCCTCTGCTTCTACCTACACCACGGTCCTTCCAATCTCTTGATAAAAACCAAAGAGCTGAGGTTGTCAAAAGAAGAGTGAAAGCAGGGGTGCGTCTTGGGGCTGCATCACACAGCATGCAAACTTCAACTACTGCAGCTATTCCCACACTTTGCATGTGGCACTTGTACCTCCCCTCTTGCAGGGTTGCCTACAAGATCTGGTTCAAGGTGTCAAATGTTATTACTCTCTCTCTTCCGAGTATGGGATAATGTCCATGGTCATGACTGATAGGATGTGCTAATGTTCATAATCAGGCAAAGCTTTCATTAAAAATCAGACAGCTTAGTACCTTGATACTGTATCAAAAAAGTCTATACGTTAAGAGGAAATAACTGAAGTAGCAATTTACGTAGGTTTATATACCTTATCACTATCATTAGCAACAGTTTTAAATAGTAGCTTCATAGATGAATGATATTATAAAGTTTGCAAAATTATATACTGATAAATGTGGCATCTCCTATAGGCCAAAAGTGTCTCCCTGCTAATTAAAGGCCTACTTAATTTGTAATATGATTTTTCCTATCTTGAGTTATATATGAACTATATTTTGGCCTATTACTTTATATATGTCTTCTTTCTCCTGGAGATCTACAGCTTTTCTTTTAAAATATAGACCTAGAAAGGAGGATTTTTGCTCGTTTTTCCCTATTTTTTTTTTTTTTTTTTTTGCACTACATTTCTTCCTTTTCAGAAGTCTTGAAGATTTTTACGTATTGCCTTTGGTTAACAGCACAAGGTAACTCAGTGTGTAATTTGTTGTGATTGATATATTTTTAAACTTCAAATACTTTTTGAAAGTAAATAATCCTATGGATATGAATTAGTTGCTAAACAGTTTTTATCTTCATTTAAGACTGATCATGCCATGAATTATTTGAAACATACATGAGAATGAGAATTTGCCTTTAATGAGAATGAAGCTGTTTGTCCCCAACTGACTCCTCCTCAGCATCTTCATGTTACTTCCAGGGAGTGAACCATCATTCGGAATTGC
Organism: Homo sapiens; assembly: GCF_000001405.40. Classification (NCBI taxonomy): domain Eukaryota; kingdom Metazoa; phylum Chordata; class Mammalia; order Primates; family Hominidae; genus Homo; species Homo sapiens. Next base: position 16,925,818 of record NC_000008.11, read on the forward strand.
AATGTTGCAAGAGGAGACTTTAAGTAACCTATAAGTAACCTATCAATGTTGAAGGATGGCAAGTCCAATTTTTCAGTTACTTATGTTTTTCTTGGTAATTTTAGGTTGGCCTACCGGATCTGGTAACCCAAAGGAGACTTAGATTTCCTTGACCCTATGGGTCTATGACTGGCCGAATCTCTGAATTTATTATCTTCTGGGGTTAGAACAATAGAGTTTCTTTAGAAGGTTAACACTCCTTCCCTTTTTACTACCTTCTCCTACTTTATTTTTCATTTCTCATCTTTCAGTTTTGTTTTCTCTCTGTGCTCTCTCTACCTCCCTGCAAGAAGTGTTTTCTGTGAGAGCTGTGTTTGAACAAATCAAAGGTGGTCAACCTGACTATTTGTTAGTCTGACTTAGAGCCCTGTTAGAATGTTGTGAAGGAGGGAACTAGTCAATTCAGTTCTGTGCTTTGATGGTTTCCTAATTTACTCAGCAGTAATTCAGCCTGTAATCACCCGATTTCATCACCACCCAAAAACATTACTTGAAAGCAGTACTCAGGTGGATTTTCTTTCAAATGGGTAATCTAAAATAGTAAAACAGGCTGGGGGATCTGGCAGTAAGCACATAAAACATTCTTGTTTTGAGTTACATGACTTGTGAAAATGAATTTCTTCATTTCATGATTTTGTAATTACAAATATATGAGGGGCCAGACGGTGGCTCACGCCTGTAATCCCAACACTTCAGGAGGCTAAGGCGGGCTGATCACAAGGTCAGGAGTTCGAGACCAGCCTGGCCAATATGGTGAAACCCCGTCTCTATTAAAAACACAAAAATTAGCTGGGCATGGTGGCGAGCACCTGTGGTCCCAGCTACTCGGGAGGCTGAGACAGGAGAATCGCCTGGACCCAGGAAGCAGAGGTTGCAGTGAGCTGAGATCCCACCACTGCACTCCAGCCTGGGTGACAGGGCAAGACTCTGTTTCAAGGGGGAAAAAAAAAAAAAAAAAAAAAAAATATATATATATATATATATATACACACATATATATATACATATATATATGTATATATATACACATTTATATATATGAGGAAGTCAGAATCTTATATATAAAATGACATTTCAATAACCTTTGTGGTTCAAAGAACACTGAAATGTTTATGTCAGCCCAAGTCAATTTGAGACTCAAGAACCAGAATGCATTAAAAAATCATTAATGCCTTTGAGAATGGACCGGTAGTGTATGTGACAGTGATATCAATTTAAATACACGCCTAAAAATACAACTAAGCAGCAATCTACGAGCTCTTCTAAGATTTATGTTATTGCCCAAGCTTTAACTTCTTATTTTCTTTCTCAATTTAACAATTATAGTAATTATAGTCATCATAGTCCTTAAGAAAAATATGGAATACAGGAAAAAATTACATGAAGGATAAGAGGACATTATTGATTCATTCCAGCTCACAAATACTATCTCTATAAATGTTTTAGCTCGCTTCTAAACTCTGTTCCTATGTTTCGGTTATTCATATATTAGTTTACTGATTTTATATTTATCCAGTTTCTTTCACTTTTTTAAAATGCATATTACTCCACTTCTGCATAATTTTAAACATAATTGTAATGGTAATTAGTTAATTATGATTACATTAATGAGCATAATTAATAATCCTCGTTCAGTGGATATACAGTGTCTCATTTAACCATTATTTGAACATTGAAGTTATTGCCAAGATCTTTTTCCCTACGAGAAACATTTTCATGACGGTCCTTTTTGTGCTCACATAGATTTGCCTCTACATACACACACATTTCTGATTGTTTCCTTAAGACAAAGCACAGAGGAGGAAATATTTTGTAAAGAGTTTAAGAACTTCTAGAGAGTATATATTTATTTCATATAATTAGTTATAAATCTATTATATGTGATAAATACACATTAAATATGTATTTATATTTTATATATAATTTTATATATTTATATTTTATATGCAAATATATATTTATATATCACATATAATTATATATAAATATATAATATATGATCTAAATATACAGTTATATACATTTATAACTTTCAAATATATAAATACTTCATATATATGTGTGTGTATATATATTTAAAAGAGTTGTTCCAGTTTTTATTGCCGTCATTAAAGTTTGAAGTGCCCATTTCTGCTTGCTATAAGAGTTAACTTACATGCTTCACGATACAGGACCATCCTCCAGTTCTCGCATTTAAACGTTGTCCCAATTTATACTTCCTCAGTCCTGTTTAGTGCTGGTCTATTGTTTACCTTCCCTATATGCCAAACACCACACTAACAGTAATACGAAATACAAAAAAAAAAAAAAGAGGTCTACCTCATCAAGGAGTTCATAGTGTAGAAGAGAAGATGAGGTTTATTTACAAATAACATAACACCACAAACAACAGTGGCTTCAACAAGACAGAAATATATTTCTCAACCACAACGAGATACCATCTCACACCACTCAGAACAGCTATTATTAAAAAGTCAAAAATAGCAGATCCTGGCGTGGTTGTGGAGAAAAGAGAATGCTTATACACTGTTGGTGGGAGTGAAAGTTACTTCAACCATTGAGGAAAACAGCGTGGCAATTCCTCAGAGAGCTAAAAATACAACTACCATTTGACCCAGGAATCTATTACTGGGTATATACCCAAAGGCATATAATCATTCTTTCATAAAGACACACGCACATGTGTGTTCATTGCAGCACTATTCACATTATCAAAGTCATGGAATCAAGCTAAATGCCCATCAATGGCGGATTAGATAAAGAAAATGTGCACACATACACCATGAAATATTATGCAGCCATATAAAACAACAACATTAAGTCTTTTGCGAGAAGATGGATGGAGCTGGAGGCCGTTATCCTTAGCAAATTAATGCAGGAACAAAAAAACAAATACCCGATGTTGTCACTTATGAATGGGAGCTAAGTGATGAGAACACATGGACACAAAGAGGAGAACAACAGGCACTGGGGCCTACTTGAGGGTGGAGGGTCGGAAGAGGGAGAACATCAAGAAAAATAACTATTGGGTACTGGGCTTAGTACCTGGGTGACAAAATATTCTGAACAACAAACCCCTGTGACACCAATTTACCCATATAACAAATGTGCACATATACCCTTGACCCTAAAATAAAAGTTTTTTCAAAAGAAATGTATATCTCACTTAAAAATAGAAAGAATTTCACAGTTAGGCAGCTAAGTACTAGCACAGGGCTCTGCAAAGTCGTTAGGGGTTCAAACAGTTTGCAGTTCACTGTTCACTACCACTAAAGTGAGGTCCTCCATTGCCTGATCCAAAAAGCCTCCAGAGCTCTAACTAACACTGAACTCCAGGGATAATGAAAGAAAAGAATCATCTCTTTAAGGAAACATCCAAGAAATTGACTTAACTCTTCTACTCACATTGGCCAAAATGTAGTTACATATCCATACCTGACTACAGAGTAGACTATAGAATTTGGTCTTTTTTTGTTTTCGTTTTTGTTTTTGTTGTTGTTATTTTTTGTTGTTCTTGTTGTTGTTTTTTGAGTCAGGGTCTCACTCTCTGTCCCTCAGAATGGAATGCAGTGGCACAATCATAGCTCACTGCAACCTCAAACTGGGCTCAAGCAATCCTCCTGCCTCAGCCTCCTAAGTAGCTAGGACTACAGGTGTGTGCTACCACACCCAGGTAATTTGAAAAAAAAACATCTTTTGTAGAGACAGAGTCTTGCCACGTTGCCCAAGCTGCTCTCAAACTCCTGGCCTCAAGTGATTCTCCTGCCTGGCTTCCCAAAGTGCTAGGATTCCAGGAATAAGCCACCACACCTGGCCAGAATTTGTATTTTTTGTTTGAAGAGAAGCAATATTTCCTTAATGGTTGAACTAATTTTCACTCCCACCAACAGTGTATAAGCATTCCCTTTTCTCCACAACCTCACAACCCTCTGCTATTTTTTGACTTTTTGTTAATAGCTATTCTGACTGGTGTGAGATGGTATCTCGTTATAGTTGAGAAATATGTTTCTGTCTTGTTGAAGCCGCTGTTGTTTGTGGTGTTATGTTAAGGAGACCAAGGCACGAGGATCACTTGAAGCCAGGAGTTCAAGATCAACCTGGGCAACATAGCGAGACCTCATCTCTACAAAAAATACAAAAATTATCTAGGCATGGTGGCGCATGCCTGTAGCTCTAGCTACTCAGGAGGCTGAAGAGGGAGCATTGCTTGAACCCAGAAGGTCAAGATTGCAGTGAGCCAACATCATGCCACAGCACTCCAACCTGGGCAACAAAGTGAGACCGTGTCTCTAAAAAGAAAAAAAGAAAACTGCATGCAGTTTAGTGCCACTAGAGAAGGAACAGAAGGAATGAATATCAAAAGATAAATATAAATATGTAGACAGAGCCAGATACTGAAGAACACTCCATATTTAGTACTTGCAAACTGATTGATTTCAGTGGGTTTTGTTACAGAGATTGATGCTGCTGTATGAATTTATAAATAAGTGAGCTCTATATAATTTAACATTAAATCAGGCTTTCTCATTTGACTTCTCACTTGAGTTACATCCCAGTTATTCACAGGGGAAAAACTTGGACCATTATAGTAAAATAGTATATAGTTCCTTAAATGTACTTTAATCTCAAAGGAATTTTTTTAGCTGTACCAATAGGCATTCTATTTTCTTTAACTTCTGTTCAAATTCTGGGAATATGTTAGTCATGTGGACAATAAGCCACATTCTTTATACTCCTGTATTTAAATGCATTATTCCACATGGTTAATTTTTTATCCGTTTTGCATTCATTCCACCTCCATAGCACTTATATTCATAAGCCACTACAATGGCTAAATATCACTGCCCATCTTATTTAGCACAATATATAAGCTAAAAGAGGTGTTTTCTAAGCCGGTTTAAAGTAGTAAAATATCTATGATAGGACAAACATGCTATTAATAAATTTTTTTCAAGGCTGAGGCAGGAGAATGACTTGAGCCCCAGTGTTCAAGGTCACAGTGAGCTGTGATTCACTACTGATCTCCAGCCTGGACAACACAGCAAGACCCTGTCCATAAAACAAATAAATAAATAGAAGTGTTACAACTGCCAATCTTAAAAAATAATAAAGTTTTTCTTATGTAATAGTTAATTGCATTTTTGTTATCTATACTCATTTGAAGAATTTGTCATATTGATCAAAAACTATTTACACCAATAAATGGCCCACAAGTAATTTACAATAATGCAAATATTAGTCCTTTACCTTTCCCCCTCTATGTCTGCTCCCCTATCCCTTGACAATATTCAGTCCTCTGACTTCTCAGTTTTCTTCCAATCCATCATTCCCTTTATGGCCTCTCTTGCTGCCCTCCAACCTAGACACCAAGGTGCATCATTTCAATTTTTCTCTTACTAGGAATGTCAGCATTTTTGACATCTTATCTTTTTACTATGTCCTCGGATCATTTGGCTTTTCTGCTCACATACCTGAGATGGCAAATGCCCCTAAATATACTGTACAATCATGCAAATTTATGTTCTTCTATATCAGTTTTTAAAATTTGGAATCACTTAGGACTGTGTTCTGTGTAACACCCATAATACTTACTCTGAAGTTTCATTCCTATCCTCTCTTCACTACCAACTCAGCATATTTCCTTGCCTCCTGCTTTATAATGGAGTTATACCCTATCTCCTAAACCACCATCTCTACACATAAACCTACCCACTCTGCTTTCTATAGGATTATACTCTTTTCAAGTGCATTTGAAGATTCACCAAGATAAACCACATTCAGGATCACAAAACAAACTTTATTAAATTTGATAGAATTGAAATCACTCTAAGTAAAATTTCTGGCCATAAGAGAATTAAACTGAAAAACAGTAACAGAAGATAACAGGAAAAGCAGTAGTCTGCTGTTGTTGAGTGGAAGGCTCTATAAATGTCAATTAGATTCATATAGTTGATGGCATCATTTCAATTCTTCTGTGTTCTGACTGATTTTCTGTCTACTAGCTCTGTTACTGAAATAAGAGTGTTGAGTTCTACGAGTATAATTGTGAATTGTCAATTACTCTTTTCAATTCTATAAGGTTTTGCTTTGCGTATTTTGAAGCTCTGTTGTTAGATTCATACACATTTAAAATTCTTATTTATCCTTGATGAGTTGATTCTTTTATCATTATATAATGTTCCTCTTTATCCCTGGTAATTTTGTTTGTTCTAAAGTCTACCTTATGTGATATAAATCTAGCCACTCCAGGTTCTTTTGATTACTTTGTATGGCATATCTTTCTCCATCTCTTTAGTTTTCATCTACCAATATTATGTTTGAAGTAACTTTCCTGAAGACAGCATATACTTGGCTCATATTTTTTAATCCATTCTGACAATCTCTGTCTTTAATTGGCATGTTTAGACTATTTGCATATAATGTTATTGTTGATATCTTTTGATATAGATGTTTCATTTATTCCTTGTTTTGTTTGTTCTGTTGGTTTTTTGTTGTTGTTTTTCCTCCTATTCTCTTTTCCTGCCTCCTTTAGGATTGTGCAAATTTTTTATTATTCCATTGTCATTCATCATATTTTAATAATTTGAATTTGCATTGATTTGCTTTTCAGTGGTTGCTCCAGGGATTATAATGCACACACTTAACTTTTTACCATCTACTTGGAATCAATATTTTACCACACAAAGTGAAATGCAGAAATTCTAGCCACCACCTAGATCCCTTTAGCCACCTTCCTTTTTTGTTATAGTTGTCTTTTACATTACATTTACACATTGAATATCTTATTAGATAATGTTATAATTTTTGCCTTCAACTGAAAAACCTATGCTAAATAATTCAATGGTAGAATAGTCTACTATATTTACCCAGATAGTCATCATTTTCATCTCCTTTGTCATTTCTTATGTTTCAACTTTCTTCTGTTATTATTTCCTTTCTTTCTGAAGAATTCCCTTCAGCAATTCTTCAGAATAGAGCTACTCAGTTTTTCTTCATCTAAAAATGTCTTTATTTCACTTGGATTCCTGAAGAATAGTTTGCTTTCAAGATTTTTATTTTTCTTTGTCTTTAGGTTCAACAGCTTGATTATGAAGTGCCAGGGCATGAATTTCTTTGGATTTACCATGTTTGGAGTTGATTTAATATTTAAATAACATTTTGGCCACATGCCATGTCTCGTACCTGTAATCCTAGCACTTTGGGAGGCTGAGGCGGGTGGTTTGCCTAAGCTCAGAAGTTCAAGACCAGTCTGGGCAACATGGTGAAACCCTGTCTCTATTAAAATACAAAAAATTAGCCATGCGTGGTGGTGTGCACCTGTAATTCCAGCTACTTGGGATTATTATTAAATAATAATACATTTCATAAGTAACAAATTTATTGTGTTAGATTAATAATAAATTTAATAAATAATAAATTTATTGTGTTAGATTATTCTTTTTAATTGATATCTCTTTTTGATGGATCAGGTAAAACAAATAATCCTTAGTTAATTGATATGAAATTACTAAAATTTACTATTTCTTTCTCTAACTTTGCCAATGGCTTTTGCATTTTATGCATCTAAATACGTTTGTGGCCTTTTTTTAAGTAGTTTTTGATCACCTTTATTTTCAGTTCTCTAATTCTGACATAGTGGTTAAAGTGGTTAACCTTTTAGTCTCTGAAGTGTTGACAAAGTGAAGCAGAAGGCACAAGTCTACCATATTGTGTCTGTATGAGCTTGGATAATTTAAATATCTTAGGCATGTTCTAGGCTTAGTTTCTTATCAGTAACATAAGAATTCATCACTACTTTACAGCATTATAGTGAGGACTAAATATGACAATACTTAGGACAATACTTCAGGATATTACCATGTACCTGAAACAGAGTAAGCACTCATTACAAAATAAGTGTGCATTGAGAGTTAGTTGGTTTCTTACCACTGTAATCATGATCATTACCATCATCTTCCTTGTCATCAAGGCAATAAAGAACACAAAGCCTTGTTTAAGAAGAACGTTGGAATGCTGTCACATTACAACTATACCACTCATAAATGAAACTCAGCTTTTTGTCCTATTGTGAGACCGTCAAGGCTTGCCATTTCATTCATTATCTAAATCGACATTATCTGTAGAACTGTTTAGCTCTCTGATATCCAGATGTAATTGATGGTATTGAGTAATTATGTCACACATTTTTTGCTGATTTGCTCTCATAAGGCATTGAGCATAGCCAAGTCCAAGTCAGTTGCTGCACGTCTTCAAAAGTGAGCTTTTTCTGTTTTCCACACCAGCATGTAAGCTGCTTAGAAGTGGCCAGTCCATCCTAACAACAAGAAAAAATCTGAACTAACTGAAATATTAATACAATCAACTCTTCTAGTCTGAGAGTTAAAAACTCCAAGGGGACCCAGTCATAGGAGGACTCCCACACTTTTGTGAGTTTTACTTCCAAGAGTTCTGCCAGGTCCTCAAGGTGAACATTAGAGAAAAATCCCCTCCTGCTTCTGGCTTGGAAATGGAGGCAGTGCTTGAGGGGCTGGAAGTAAACATTTTGAGATAGGCCAGAGCTTTCTGTTCTTAACAAGGTCTGCCCTCAGGTAAAACAATTTTACCACAGCCTAACCTGCTGGAGTTTCATCAGAGCCTAACCAACCTGGAGGAAGGGAAATACCCATCTCTAGCCCCCGCTAGCCATTTTGTTCTACCTGCTAGGTGGGGTGGGGGAATATTAGAAGCACTGGTGAAGTTCACAGTCCAGGAGCACAGGCTCACCAAAACAGAAGTAATTACACAACCAACACTCCCCCTCCCCCACACCAGATCACCACACTAATAAGGATCTATAAACTGGAATTTATTTCACCGAGTACATTACATCCACATTTCAACAAAAAATTGCAAGTCATACTAAAAGGCAAAAAAAAAAAAAAAAGGTTTTAAGACACTGAACAAGCCAGTTCAAACGTGGCAGAAATGTCAGAACTATAGATGGGAAATGTATTACAACTATGATAACTATGATATGCTAAGGGCTTGATATGGTTTGGCTGTGTCCCCACCCCACATCTCATCTTGAACTATAGCACCCATAATTCCCACGTGTTGTGGGAGGGACCGTTGGGAGATAATTACATCATGGGGGCAGTTTCCCCCATACTATCCTTGTGGTATTGAATAAGTCTCATAAGATCTGCTGGTTTTATAAAGGGTTTCCACTTTGACTTGACTCTCTTTCTCTCTTGCCTGTCACTGTGTAAGATTTGCCTTTTGCCTCGACAATAATTGTGAGACCTCACCACCCACCTGGAACTGTGAGTCTATTAAATCTCTTTTTCTTCATAAATTATCCAGTCTCAAGTATGTCTTTATCAGCATTGTGAAAATGGACTAATACAGGGCTCTAATGAAAAAGTAAGACAACATACAAGAACAGACGGGTAATGTAGGCAGAGATGAAAATTATAAGAATGAATTAAAAAGTATCACTAAGGACCAAAACACTGTAACAGAGACGAAGAATCCCTTCAATAGGCTCATTCTAGACTAGACACAGCTGAGAAAAAAATCTAGAGCTCCAGGAGATAATAATAGAAACTTGCAAAACTGCAAAGGAAAAAAAAAAGAACAGAATATCCAAGAACTGTGGGACAACTACAAAAATGGAAACATCCATGTAATGAAAATAACAATGAAGAAGACAGAAAGAAACAGAAGCAATATTTGGAGCAAAAATGACTGAGAATTTCCCCAAATCAATGTCAGATACCAAATCAAAAATACAAGATGCTCAGAGAACACACACACACAAACACACACACATACACACACACACACTCCACCTGGACATATCATATTCAATATTCAGAAAATCAAAGACAAACAAAAAGTTTTGAAAGAAGCCAGGAGGGAAAAAAACACTTTATATAAAGAGGAGCAAAAATAAAAATTACACCCACCTGACCTCTCCTTAGAAACCATGCAAGCAAAAAGAGAGCAGAGTGAAATATTTAAAGTATTAAGAGAAAGAAACCCACCAACCTAGAATTCTGTACCCCAAAAAATTATCCTTCAAAAGACACAGACTTTCTCAGATGAACAAAAATTGAGAGAATTTGTTGACTGTACACACGCCTCACAAGAAATGTTAAAAGAGTTACTTTAGGACAGCAGTCGCCAACCTTTCTGGCACCAGGGACTGGTTTCATGGAAGACAATTTTTTCACTGACCAGGAATGATGAGGTGATGAAACTGTTCGACCTCAGATCATCAGGCATTCAGTTTTCACAAGGATTGCACAACCTAGATCCTTACATGCACACTTCACAATAGGGTTTGTGCTTCTGTGAGAATCCGATGCTGTCACTGAACTGACAGGAGGTGGAGTTCAGGCGGTAATATTCGCTCATCCACCACTCACCTCCTGCTATGCAGCCCAGTTCCTAACAAGCCACAGATTGATTCCAGTCCATGGCCTGAGAGTTGGAGACTCCTGCTTTAGAGAGAATAAAAATGACATAGGTCAAAAACTCAGGACGAAATAAAGAAAGCATCGGACAAAAGGATTAAGTGAAGGTAAAAATAAAAAAAAATTGTGTTTCTCATTTTTAGTGTTCTAACAGATAACAGATTGTTCAAAATAATAGCAACAATGTATTTGATGACATAAGACATTATATATGCTATATACTATACGATATATTATATATGCATATGTATATGTTTATGTATGTTTGCATAGAAGTAGTATATAGTGAAATGAATGATTTGTTATATGTATAATATATATGCTTATGTATGTTTGCATAGAAATAGTGTATAGTGAAATGAATGACAGCAACGACACAAGGAAGGGAGGAAGAGATTGGAATTACTTTGTTATTATTCAATACTTGCATGACCCATGAAATGGGATAGCGTTATTTGAAACTTGGATTAGTTGTAAATATATATAGCAAACTCTAGGACAACTGCTACAAAAAAGCATGAAAAAAGAAGTACAACAGATATGCTAAGAAAGGAGAGAAAATGGAATCATATAAAATGCTAAATTAAAACTACAAAAGGCAGAAAAAGAGAGGAAGACAAAAATAGTAAAAAAGAACAAGAGTAACAAAGAGAAAACAGTAACAAATGTGGTTGATATTATTCCAACTATATTAGTAATCACTTTAAAAGTATACAGTGTAAATACACCAACTAAAAGACAGAATTCAGGTATGGTGGTGCATACCTGTAGTCCAAGATACTCAGGAGGCCAAGGAGGAAGGATCCCTGAGCTCAGGGTTTTAGTCCAGCCTAGGCAACATAGTGAGGCTATCACTAAAAGAAGGATATAAAAAAACATTAAAGACAGAGATTGTCAGGGTCGATTAAAAATATAAGACCCAATTATATGTTGTTTATAGAATACTAAAGCAAAGCAGAAGTAGCTGTCTTAATTTCAGATAGAGCAAACTTCAGATCAAGGAAGATTATCAGAGATAAAGAGAAGAATTACATAGTGATAAAGAGGTCAGTACTCCAAGAGGAGATAGCCATCCTTAATGTGTATGAAGACAACATCACAGCATCAAAATCTGTAAGCAAAAGCTCATATAACTGCAAGGATGAACAGATGTATCCACTATTGTAGTTGAACACTTTAAAAACTTTTTTATCATAAATGCACAGATCCAGCAGGCAGAAAAGCTGTAAGAATATAGTCAAACCCAACAGCATCATTAATCACCTGGATATAATTAACATCTATAGATAACCTCATCTGATAAGATTAGATTACACATTCTTCTCAACATCACACGGAACATTCAAAATGACCATATTCTGGACCTTAAGACACAACTTAAAATTCAAAAAATAGAACTCATACAATGTCTGCTCTCTACCCACAAAAGGAATTATACTAGAAATCAATAACAAAAATATTTTGAGAAACTCCCAAAATGCTTGGAGATTAAACAATATACTCCAAATAACACAAAAGTCAAATATGAACCTTCAAAAGAAATTTTATAATATTTTGAACTAAATGAAAATAAAAATACAACTTGTGAAAAATTTTGGGATGCAGTAAAAGCAGTTATTAGAAACCAATTTATAGCACTGAATGCATGTATACAAAAGGGAAAACCTAAAATCATTCATCTAAGCTTCCACCTGAGGAAACAAGAAAAACAAGAACAAATACATCCAAATTAAACAGGAAAAAGAACAAAAACTGGACCAGAAATCAATGAAATTGAAAAGAGGAAATCAACAGAGAAAATCAACAAAACTAAAAGCTTGTTTTTGAAAACATCAACAAAATTAATAAGCATCTACTAAGACTAAGAAAAAAAGGAGGACACAAATTATTAATATTGGAAATGAAAGAAGGGATATCACTCCAGATCTGATCAACTTTAAAAGGATAACAAGGAAACATTATACAAAACTCTATGCCAACAAATGTGGCAACATAGATGAAATAGGTTACAATTACTTACAGACACAATCTATCTAAATTTACATAAAAAAGAACAATTTAAATTGGACTATATCTATTTAAAAATTTAATCAATAATGAATAACCTCCCAAAACAAAAAGGACCAGGCCGAGATGGGTTTGTTGGTGAATTCTACCAAACACCTAAAAAAGGAATTAGGCCAGTGATCTACAATTTCTTTCAGAAGATAGAAACAAAGAGAATACTTCCAAACTCATTCCATAAGGAGAGAATTACCCCGATAGCAAAACAGGTGAAGGCATTAAAAGAAAAGAAAACTATAGACCAATATATCTCATAAACATAGATGTAGAAACCCTCAACAGAATATTCGCAAATTAAATTCAACAATGTATAAAAAGAAGCTGGGCATGGTGGCTCACACCTGTAATCTCAGCACTTTGGGAGGCCAAGGTGGGTGGATCACTTGAGGTCAAGAGTTCCAGACCAGTCTGCCCAACATGATGAAACCCCGTCTCTACTAAAAATACAAAAATTAGCCAGGTGTGGTGGCATGTGCCTGTAGTCCTAGCTACTCAGGAGGCTGAGGCAGGAGAATTGCTTGAACCCAGGAGACAGAGGTTGCAGGGAGCCCAGATCATACCTCTGGACTCCAGCCTGGGTGACAGAGTAGAACTCTGTCTCTCAAAAAAAAAAAAAAAATTATATACCATGACAAAGTCATATTTATGCCAGTTATGCAAGGCTGGTTTAACATTCAAAAATCAATTAATACAATCCACCATATCAACAAGCTTAAGAAGAAAAATCGCATGCTCTTATCAACAGATGCAGAGAAAACATTTAACTATTTCCAATACTCATTCATCATAAAAAGCGCTCAACAGAATAGAGGGAAGTTCTTTAACTAAATTAAGAACATCTACAAAAAGGTGTAGTTAAAACCATACTTAATAATGGGAAACTCAAAGCTTTCCTAACATCAAGAATAAGGCAAGAATGGCTCCTCTCGGCCGGGTGCAGTGACTCAAGCCTGTATTCCCAGCACTTTGGGAGCCCGAGGCAGGCAGATCACAAGGTCAGGAGATCGAGACAATCCTGTCCAACATGGTGAAACCCTGTCTCTACTAAAAATACAAAAAATTACCCAAGTGTGGTGGTGCGCGCCTGTAGTCCCAGCTACTCGGGAGGCTGAGGCAGGAGAATCACTTGAACCCAGAAGGCAGAGGTTGCAGTCAGCTGAGATTGCGCCACTGCACTCCAGCCTGGGTGACAGAGCAAGACTCCATCTCAAAAAAAAAAAAAAAAAAGAATGTCTCCTCTCACTACTGGTTTTTTAACATCATATTAAAAATTCTTGCTAATACAAAATAAGAAAAAAAAAGCATACAGACTAAGAAGAAAGAAATAAAGTTGCCTTTATTTTCAGATATCATGATCATCCATGTAGAAAATCTCCCCAAATCAAAAAAAACTCCTGGAACTAACATGTGATTACAGAAAGTTAATATACAAAAGGCAATTACTTTCAATGCCTCTTACATTATCACTCAAAAATATGAAATATTTAGGTATAAATCTAATAAAATATGTACAAGATCTATATGAAAAAAAACCTATGAAACTCTTGAAAGAAATCAAAGAACTAGATAAATGGAAAAGTGTTGCATGTTCATGGAAAGGAAGATTCAGTATTATCAAGATTTTAGTTTTTTCCAAGTTGATCTACAGATTCAGTGCAATCTCAATAAAAAATACCCTCAGGTTATTTTGTGAATATCAACAAACTCTTTCCAAAGTTTATATGGAGAGGAAAAATCCCAGAATAGCCAATTCAATATTGAAGGATGAGAACAAAGTTAGAAACTCACACTAACCAACTTCAAGACTTACTACAAAGCTACAATAATTAATGTAGTATTGGTGAAAGAACAGACAAGTACATCAATGATACAGAATAGAAAGCCCACAGATAGATATACATTAGTACAGCTACCGATCCTTGGCAAATGAGCAAAGACAATAAATACAGTGAAGCAAATACAGCCTTTCCCACAAATGGTTCTGGAGCAATGGGACGCTCACATGGAAAAAAAAAGGATCTAGAAGCAGGCTTTAAATGCTTCATAAAAATTAGCTCAAAATAGATCATAGACCTAAATGTGAAATACAAAACTCTAAAACTATTAAAGATAACATATGAGACGACCTAGAAGACCTTGGGTATAGTGATGACTTTTTAGATACAACACCAAATACATGATCGAGAAAAGAAATAATTGGCAGTCTGGACTTTAATAAAATTTAAAACTTCTGCTCTGTGAAAGACAATGTCATGACGTGAGAAGACATGCAACAGACTAGAAGAAATATTTGCAAAAGACACATCTGATAAAAGACCATTATTCAAAATAAACAAAGATCTCTCAAAAATCAAGACTGAAGAAACAGAAAGCTTGATTTTAAAAACTGGCAAAAGATATGATTTCACCAAAGAAGATATAAAGATAACAGGTAAGCACATAGTAAGACGCTTAAAATCACATATCACTAGGGAATTGCAAATTAAAACAACGAGAGGGAACACAGCAAGATGGTGGAATAGAAGGCTACATAATTCACCCCACTTCACCACCCAAAACACCAAATTTTAACAAGTATCTGCACATAGAAATGTACCACGGCATCACAAGAACCAAAAATCAGATGCAGGATCACAGTACCTAGTTTTAACTTGATATCACTGAAAGAGGCATTGAGAAGGGCAAGAGAGACCGACCCTCTCCGATCTCCCACCAGCAGCCATGTGGCTCAAAGAAAGACTATGTGCACTTTGGAGAGGGAGAGCACAGTGACTAGGGAGACTTTACATTGAATGCAGTGACACCCTGTCACAGAGGAGAATAAAGCCATGCTAGGCTCAGCCAGCACCTGTGCATGAAGACAGCTATTGACTAGCCCTAGCCAAAGGAGAATTGCCCATTCCAATGATCAGAACTTGAGTTTCTCAGCAAGCCTTGTCACTGTGGGCTGAACTGCTTTGGGGTCCTGGGTAAACTTGAAAGGCAATCTAGGACACAAGGACTGCAATTCTTAGGCAACTCCTAGTGCTAGGCTCGGCTTAGAGCCAGTGGACCAAGGTGGCATGTGACCTAGGAAGACACCAGCTGGTGCAGCTAAGGGAACGCTTGTGCCATGACTTCCCCAACTCCAGACAGTGCATCTCACAGCAATGAAAGTGACCCCTCCCTTCTGCTTAATAAGAGGAGAGCAAAGAGTAAAGAGGACTTTGTCTTACATCTTGGATATCAGAGTAGAGTCATGAAGCCCCAATTCCAGACCCCAGGTCCCAGACAACATTTCTAGACACACCATTGGACAAAAGGAAACCTACTGCCTTGAAGAGAAGGACCCAGTCCTGGTAGGATTTATCTCCTGCTGACTTGGGCCTGAATAAGCAGCAGTGATACCCAGGGAGTACACTGTGGGCCTTGGACTCTGAGAAGTGCAGGCTTCAGGAATGACTCTGCTGTGGTAGCTAGGATGAAAGACTCCTTCAGTTTGAGAAAAGCAGAAGGAAAAGTAAAAAGCACTTTGTCTTGCACCTTGGCTACCAGCTTGGCCACAGAGGGGTAGAACAACAGTCTGGCTCTTGGGGTCCCCAAGTCCAGGCCCAGGCACTTGGACAGCATTTCTGAACACGTCCTGGCCCAGACGGGAGTCCACTGCCCTGAAGGGTGAGTCCTAGGCCTGGGAACATTAACGAAAAGCTGATAGAAGAGCCTTGGGTTTTGAGTGAATATTAGCAGTGGCCTGGGTAGAACTGCCCATGGACCAGTGGTGGTGGTGGCCACAGTGAGAGCTCCTCTGCCTGTGGAAAGCAGAGGAAAGAGCAAGAAGGACTTTGTATTGTGGGTTGAGTGTCAGCTTAGCCGCAGTAGAACAGAACATAAGATAAATAGCTAAGATTTAGTTAGTCTAATCTCTGGCTCCCAGAAAACATTTACAGACATTCCCGGGCTTGGGGGAGTTCGCTGCCCTGAAGGGAAGGGCCTTGGGAAAAACCCAGTGCTGTGCTGTCTTCAGGTCTGACCAAGTGCAGCCCCAGTAGTGGTGACCACAGGGGTGCTTGCATCACCACATCCCCAGTTCCAGGTTACTCAACACAAAGAGGAACACTGTTCATTTGGGAGAAAGTAAGAGAAAAGAGCAAGAGCCTGTGCCTGGTAATCTAGAGAATTATCCCGGATCTTATCCAAGACTACCAAGGTGGTACCTTATGAGTCTGCAAAAACCACAGCAATATTGGGCTTGGGGCTCATGTTCCTTCAAATACCTGGAAAGCCTCCCCAAGAAGGACAGGCACAAACAAGCCTAGACTGTGAAGACTACAATAAATATCTAACTCTTCAATGCTCAAACACCGACAAATATCTACAAGCATCAACACCATCCAGGAAAACACGACCTCACTAAATGAACTAAATAAGGTACCAGGAGCCAATCCTGGAGGAAGAGAGATATATGAGTTTTCAGAAAGATAATTCAAAAGTAGCTGTTTTAAGGACTCAAAGAAATCCAAGATAACACAACACAGAAGGAATTCAGAATTCTATCAGATAAATTTAACAAAATGGTTGAAATAATTAAAAAGGATCAAGAAGAAATTCTAGAGTTGAAAAATACAATTGACATGCTGAAGAATGCTTCAGAGCCTATTAATAGCGGAATCGATCAAGCAGAAGAAAGTATTAGTGAGCTTGAAGACAGGCTATTAGAAAATACACAGAGGAGACAAAAGACAAGACATCTATAAGATCTAGAAAATAGCTTCAAAAGAGCAAGTCTAAGAGTTATGGGCCAAAAGGAGGAGGTAGAGAAAAGAACAAGAGTACAAAGTTTATTCAAAGGGATAGTATCAGAGAACTTCCGAAACCAAGAGAAAGATATCCACATTGAAGTACAAGAAGGTTATGGAACACCAAGCAGATTTAACCCCAAAAAGACTTCCTCTGGGCATTTAATAATCAAACTCCCAAAGTCAAGCATAAAGAAAGGATTCTAAAAGTGGCACAAGAGAAGAACAAATAATATGCAATGGAACTCCAATACATCTGGCAGCATACTTTTCAGTAGAAACCTTACAGGACAGGCAAGAGTGACGTGACATATTTAAAGTGCTAAAGGAAGAAAACTTTTACCCTAACATAGTATATCCAGTGAAAATATCCTTCAATTGTGAAGAATAAATAAATATTTTCCCCAATAAACAGAGACTTCATCTATGCCAGACCTGTTCTACAAGAAATGCTAAAGGGAGTTCTTCAATCTGAAAGTAAAGGATGTTAATGAGCAGGAAGAAATGATCTGAAGGTACAAAACTCACTGGTAATAATAAGCACACAGAAAAACGCAGAATGGTGTAACACTGTAATTGTGGTGTGTAAACTACTCTTGTCTTAAGTAGAAAGACTAAGTGATGAGCCAAACAAAAATGATAACTACAACTTTTCAGGACATTGATAGAAAATAAAACATAAAGAGAAACAATAAAAAGTTAAAAAGCAGGTGGACAAAGTTAAAGTGTGGAGTTTTTATGAGTTTACTTTTTGCATATATGTTTGTTTATGCAATCAGTGTTAAGTTGTTATCAGTTTAAAATAATGGGTTATGAGGGGAGGAGCCAAGATGGCCAAATAGGAACAGCTCCTGTCTACAGCTCCCAGCCTGAGCAACGCAGAAGACGGTGATTTCTGCATTTCCATCTGAGGTACCGGGTTCATCTCACTAGGGAGTGCCAGACAGTGGGCGCAGGTCAGTGGGTGCGCGCACCGTGCGCGAGCCGAAGCAGGGCAAGGCATTGCCTCACTTGGGAAGCGCAAGGGGTCAGGGAGTTCCCTTTCTGAGTCAAAGAAAGGGGTGACGGACGGCACCTGGAAAATCGGGTCACTCCCACCCGAATACTGCGCTTTTCCGATGGGCTTAAAAACGGCGCACCACGAGAGTATATCCCGCACCTGGCTCGGAGGGTCCTACGCCCACGGAGTCTCGCTCATTGCTAGCACTGCAGTCTGAGATCAAACTGCAAGGCGGCAGCGAGGCTGGGGGAGGGGCGCCCGCCATTGCCCAGGCTTGATTAGGTAAACAAAGCAGCCGGGAAGCTCCAACTGGGTGGAGCCCACCACAGCTCAAGGAGGCCTGCCTGCCTCTGTAGGCTCCATCTCTGGGGGCAGGGCACAGACAAACAAAAAGACAGCAGTAACCTCTGCAGACTTAAATGTCCCTGTCTGACAGCTTTGAAGAGAGCAGTGGTTCTCCCAGCACGCAGCTGGAGATCTGAGAACGGGCAGACTGCCTCCTCAAGTGGGTTGCTGACCCCTGACCCCCGAGCAGCCTAACTGGGAGGTACCCCCCAGCAGGGGCACACTGACACCTCACACTGCAGGGTATTCCAACAGACCTGCAGCTGAGGGTCCTGTCTGTTAGAAGGAAAACTAACAAACAGAAAGGACATCCACACCAAAAACCCATCTGTACATCACCATCATCAAAGACCAAAAGTACATAAAACCACAAAGATGGGGAAAAAACAGAACAGAAAAACTGGAAACTCTAAAATGCTGAGTGCCTCTCCTCCTCCAAAGGAACGCAGTTCCTCACCAGCAACGGAACAAAGCTGGATGGAGAATGACTTTGACGAGCTGAGAGAAGAAGGCTTCAGATGATCAAATTACTCTGAGCTACGGGAGGACATTCAAACCAAAGGCAAAGAAGTTGAAAACTTTGAAAAAAATTTAGAAGAATGTATAACTAGAATAACCAATACAGAGAAGTGCTTAAAGTTGCTGCTGGAGCTGAAAACCAAGGCTCGAGAACTACGTGAAGAACGCAGAAGCCTCAGGAGCCGATGCGATCAACTGGAAGAGAGGGTATCAGCGATGGAAGATGAAATGAATGAAATGAAGCGAGAAGGGAAGTTTAGAGAAAAAAGAATAAAAAGAAATGAGCAAAGCCTCCAAGAAATATGGGACTATGTGAAAAGACCAAATCTACGTCTGACTGGTGTACCTGAAAGTGATGGGGAGAATGGAACCAAGTTGGAAAACACTCTGCAGGATATTATCCAGGAGAACTTCCCCAATCTAGCAAGGCAGGCCAACGTTCAGATGCAGGAAATACAGAGAACGCCACAAAGATACTCCTCGAGAAGAGCAACTCCAAGACACATAATTGTCAGATTCACCGAAGTTGAAATGAAGGAAAAAATGTTAAGGGCAGCCAGAGAGAAAGGTTGGGTTACCCTCAAAGGGAAGCCCATCAGACTAACAGCGGATCTCTCAGCAGAAACCCTACAAGCCAGAAGAGAGTGGAGGCCAATATTCAACATTCTTAAAGAAAAGAATTTTCAACCCAGAATTTCATATCCAGCCAAACTAAGCTTCATAAGTGAAGGAGAAATAAAATACTTTACAGACAAGCAAATGCTGAGAGATTTTGTCACCAGCAGGCCTGCCCTAAAAGAGCTCCTGAAGGAAGCGCTAAACATGGAAAGGAACAACCGGTACCAGCCGCTGCAAAATCATGCCAAAATGTAAAGACCATCGAGACTAGGAAGAAACTGCATCAACTAACCAGCAAAATCACCAGCTAACATCATAATGACAGGATCAAATTCACACATAACAGTATTAACTTTAAATGTAAATGGACAAAATGCTCCAATTAAAAGACACAGACTGGCAAATTGGATAAAGAGTCAAGACCCATCAGTGTGCTGTATTCAGGAAACCCATCTCACGTGCAGAGACACACATAGGCTCAAAATAAAAGGATGGAGGAAGATCTACCAAGCCAATGGAAAACAAAAAAAGGCAGGGGTTGCAATCCTAGTCTCTGATAAAACAGACTTTAAACCAACAAAGATCAAAAGAGACAAAGAAGGCCATTACATAATGGTAAAGTGATCAATTCAACAAGAAGAGCTAACTATCCTAAATATATATGCCCCCAATACAGGACCACCCAGATTCATAAAGCAAGTCCTGAGTGACCTACAAAGAGACTTAGACTCCCACACATTAATAGTGGGAGACTTTAACACCCCACTGTCAACATTAGACAGATCAACGAGACAGAAAGTCACCAAGGATACCCAGGAATTGAACTCAGCTCTGCACCAAGCGGACCTAATAGACATCTACAGAACTCTCCACCCCAAATCAACAGAATATACATTTTTTTCAGCACCACACCACACCTATTCCAAAATTGACCACATACTTGGAAGTAAAGCTCTCCTCAGCAAATGTAAAAGAACAGAAATTATAACAAACTATCTCTCAGACCACAGTGCAATCAAACTAGAACTCAGGATTAAGAATCTCACTCAAAACCGCTCAACTACATGGAAACTGAACAACCTGCTCCTGAATGACTACTGGGTACATAACGAAATGAAGGCAGAAATAAAGATGTTCTTTGAAACCAATGAGAACAAAGACACAACATACCAGAATCTCTGGGACGCATTCAAAGCGGTGTGTAGAGGGATATTTATAGCACTAAATGCCCACAAGAGAAAGCAGGAAAGATCCAAAATTGACACCCTAACATCACAATTAAAAGAACTAGAAAAGCAACAGCAAACACAGTCAAAAGCTAGCAGAAGGCAAGAAATAACTAAAATCAGAGCAGAACTGAAGGAAATAGAGACACAAAAAACCCTTCAAAAAATTAATGAATCCAGGAGCTGGTTTTTTGAAAGGATCAACAAAATTGATAGACCGCTAGCAAGACTAATAAAGAAAAAAAGAGAGAAGAATCAAATAGACACAATAAAAAATGATAAAGGGGATATCACCACCGATCCCACAGAAATATGAACTACCATCAGAGAATACTACAAACACCTCTACGCAAACAAACTAGAAAATCTAGAAGAAATGGATAAATTCCTCGACACATACACTCTCCCAAGACTAAACCAGGAAGAAGTTGAATCTCTGAATAGACCAATAACAGGAGCTGAAATTGTGGCAATAATCAATAGTTTACCAACCAAAAAGAGTCCAGGACCAGATGGATTCACAGCCGAATTCTATCAGAGGTACAAGGAGGAACTGGTACCATTCCTTCTGAAACTATTCCAATCAATAGAAAAAGAGGGACTCCTCCCTAACTCATTTTATGAGGCCAGCATCATTCTGATACCAAAGCCTGGCAGAGACACAACCAAAAAAGAGAATTTTAGACCAATATCCTTGATGAACACTGATGCAAAAATCCTCAATAAAATACTGGCAAAACGAATCCAGCAGCACATCAACAAGCTTATCCACCATGATCAAGTGGGCTTCATCCCTGGGATGCAAGGCTGGTTCAATATATGCAAATCAATAAATGTAATCCAGCATATAAACAGAGCCAAAGACAAAAACCACATGATTATCTCAATAGATGCAGAAAAAGCCTTTGACAAAATTCAACAACCCTTCATGCTAAAAACTCTCAATAAATTAGGTATTGATGGGACGTATTTCAAAATAATAAGAGCTATCTATGACAAACCCACAGCCAATATCATACTGAATGGGCAAAAACTGGAAGCATTCCCTTTGAAAACTGGCACAAGACAGGGATGCCCTCTCTCACCACTCCTATTCAACATAGTGTTGGAAGTTCTGGCCAGGGCAATTAGGCAGAGGAAGGAAATAAAGGGTATTCAATTAGGAAAAGAGGAAGTCAAATTGTCCCTGTTTGCAGACAACATGATTGTATATCTAGAAAACCCCATTGTCTCAGCCCAAAATCTCCTTAAGCTGATAAGCAACTTCAGCAAAGTCTCAGGATACAAAATCAATGTGCAAAAATCACAAGCATTCCTATACACCAACAACAGACAAACAGAGAGCCAAATCATGAGTGAACTCCCATTCACAATTGCTTCAAAGAGAATAAAATACCTAGGAATCCAACTTACAAGGGATGTGAAGGACCTCTTCAAGGAGAACTACAAACCACTGCTCAAGGAAATAAAAGAGGATACAAACAAATGGAAAAACATTCCATGCTCATGGGTAGGAAGAATCAATATCATGAAAATGGCCATACTGCCCAAGGTAATTTACAGATTCAATGCCATCCCCATCAAGCTACCAATGACTTTCTTCACAGAATTGGAAAAAACTACTTTAAAGTTCATATGGAACCAAAAAAGAGCCCGCATCACCAAGGCAATCCTAAGCCAAAAGAACAAAGCTGGAGGCATCACACTACCTGACTTCAAACTATACTACAAGGCTACAGTAACCAAAACAGCATGGTACTGGTACCAAAACAGAGATATAGATCAATGGAACAGAACAGAGCCCTCAGAAATAACACCGCATATCTACAACTATCTGATCTTTGACAAACCTGAGAAAAACAAGCAATGGGGAAAGGATTCCCTATTTAATAAATGGTGCTGGGAAAACTGGCTAGCCATATGTAGAAAGCTGAAACTGGATCCCTTCCTTACACCTTATACAAAAAATCAATTCAAGATGGATTAAAGACTTAAACGTTAGACCTAAAACCATAAAAACCCTAGAAGAAAACCTAGGCATCACCATTCAGGACATAGGCATGGGCAAGGACTTAATGTCCAAAACCCGAAAAGCAATGGCAACAAAAGACAAAATTGACAAATGGGATCTAATTAAACTAAAGAGCTTCTGCACAGCAAAAGAAACTACCATCAGAGTGAACAGGCAACCTAAAAAATGGGAGAAAATTTTCACAACCTACTCATCTGACAAAGGGCTAATATCCAGAATCTACAATGAACTCAAACAAATGTACAAGAAAAAAACAAACAACCCCATCAAAAAGTGGGCGAAGGACATGAACAGACACTGCTCAAAAGAAGACATTTATGCAGCCAAAAAAACACATGAAAAAATGCTCATCATCACTGGCCGTCAGAGAAATGCAAATCAAAACCACAATGAGATACCATCTCACACCAGTTAGAATGGCAATCTTTAAAAAGTCAGGAAACAACAGGTGCTGGAGAGGATGTGGAGAAATAGGAACACTTTTACACTGTTGGTGGGACTGTAAACTAGTTCAACCATTGTGGAAGTCAGTGTGGCGATTCCTCAGGGATCTAGAACTAGAAATACCATTTGACCCAGCCATCCCATTACTGGGTATATACCCAAAGGAATATAAATCATGCTGCTATAAAGACACATGCACACATATGTTTCTTGCGGCATTATTCACAATAGCAAAGACTTGGAACCAACCCAAATGTCCAACAATGATAGACTGGATTAAGAAAATGTGGCATATATACACCATGGAATACTATGCAGCCATAAAAAATGATGAGTTCATGTCCTTTGTAGGGACATGGATGAAATTGGAAATCATCATTCTCAGTAAACTATCACAAGAACAAAAGACCAAACACCACATATTCTCACTCATAGGTGGGAACTGAACAATGAGATCACATGGACACAGGAAGGGGAATATCACACTCTGGGGACTGTTGTGGGGTGGGGGGAGGGGGGAGGGATAGCATTGGGGGATATACCTAATGCTAGATGACGAGTTAGTGGGTGCAGCGCACCAGCATGTCACATGTATACATAGGTAACTAACCTGCACAATGTGCTCATGTACCCTAAAACTTAAAGTATAATTAAAAAAATATTTAAAAAAAAGAAAACAAACAAAAAAATTAAAAAAATAAAATAATGGGTTATAAGAGAGTATTTTATTTGCAAGCCTCATGGTACCCTCAAATTAAAAAACATACAATAAGTACACAAAAAATAAAAAGCAATAAATTAGAGCACACCATCAGGGAAAATCATCTTCACTAAAAGGAAGACAGGAAGAAAGGAAAGAAGGAAGTGAAGACAAAAAAACACCAGAAAACAAATAGCAAAATACATAAGTTCATACTTATCAATAACACTGAATGTAAACGGGCTAAATTATCCAATCAAAAGAAATAGTGTAGCTGAATGGATGAAAAAACAAGACCCAGTGATCTGTGGCCTACAAGAAACACATTCCACCTATAAAGATACACATGGACTAAATATAAAGGGACAGGAAAAGATAGTCCATGCCAATGGAAACCAAAAAAGAGCAAGAATAGCTATGTTCATATCAGACAAAATATATTTTAAGACACAAGCTATAAGAAGAGGCAAAGAAGTTATTACATAATGATAAAGGGGCTGATTCAGCAAGAAGATACAAGTATAAATATATATGCAATCAACACTGGAGCACCCAGATATATAAAGTAAATATTATCAGAGCTAAAGAGAGAGAGACCTCAGTACAATAATAGCTAGAGACTTTAACACCCCACCTTCAGCAACGGACATATCTCCCAGACAGAAATTCGACAAAGAACCCCCGAATTTAATCTGCACTATAGAAAAAATGGACCTAATAGATATTTACAGAACATATCCAAAGGCTGCAGAATACACATACTCCTCCTCAGCACATGGGTCATTCTCAATGTTAGATAACATGTTAAATCACAAAACAAGTCTTCAACCATTAAAAAAATTGAAATAATATCAAGCATTTTCTCTGAACACAGTGGAATAAAACTAGAAATCAATAATGGGAGGAATTTTTGAAATTATATAAACACATGGAAATCAAACAGTATGCTCCTGAATGGCCAGTGTGTCAGTGAAGAAATTAAAGAGGAAATTGAAAATTTCCTTGAAATAAATGATAATGGAAACCCAACATGCCGAAATCTATGGGATACAGTGAAAGCAGTGCTAAGAGAGAAACTTATAGCCATAAATGCCTACATGAAAAAGAAAAAAAAATTCAAATAAATAACCTAATGATGCATACTAAAGAACTATAAAGCAAGAGCAACCAAATCCAAAATTAGTAGAATAAAAGAAATAATAAAGAGCAGAAATAAATTATTTTGAAATGAAAAGAACAATGTAAGAGATTAATGAAACAAAGCTGGGTTTTTTGAGAAGATAAACAAAACTGAAAAACCCTTAGCCAGACTAAGAAAGAAAGAGCAGACCCAAATAAATAAAATCAAAGGTAAAAAAATAAACATTACAACTGATATGACAGAAATTCAAAGGACCATTAGTGGCTACTATGAGCAATTATCAGCCGAAAAATTGGAAAATCTAGAAGAAATGAATAAATTTCTAGACACATACAATCTACCAAGATTAAATCATGAAGAAATTCAAAACACGAACAGACCAATAACAAGTAATGAGATAAAAGCCACAATAAAAAGTCTCCCATTAAAGAAAAGCCCAGGACCTCATGGCTTCACTGCTAAATTCTGCCAAACATTTAAAGAAGAAGTAATATCAATCCTACTCAAACTTTTCCGAAAAAAAACAGGAGGGAGTACTTTCAAACTCATTCTAGAAGGCAAGTATTACCCTGATATCAAAACCAAAGACACATAAAAAATTAAACTACAGGCCAATATCTCTGATGAACATTGATGCAAAAATCCTCATCAAAATACTAGCAAACTGAATTCAACAGGACATTAGAAAAATCACGCATCATGACCAAGTGGGATTTATCCCAGGTATGCAAGTATGGTTCAACATATGGAAATCAATTAATGTAATATATCGTGTCAACAGAATGAAAGACAAGAACCACATGATCCTTTCAACTGATGCTGAAAAACTATTTGATAAAGTACAACATCCCTTTAGCATCAAAACCCCCTAAAAACTGGGTATAGATAGAACATACCTCAACATAATAAAAGCCATAAATCACAGACACACAGCTAGTGTCATACTGAATGGGAAAAAAATTGAAAGTCTCTCCTGTAAGATCTGGAACACCACAAGGATATCCACTTTCACTGTTATTCAACATAGTATTGAGAGTCCTAGCTAGAGAAATCAGTATAGAATAATCAATAGCATATCTGTATGCCAGAATCAACAATCTGAAAAAGAAATGAAGAAAGTAATCCCATTTACAATAGCCACAAATTAAACTAAATACCTCGAAATTAACTTTACCAAAGTGCATCCAAATTTGAAAGGAAGAAGTCAAATTACCTTTGTTTGCAGATGATTTGATTTTATATTTGGAAAAAAACCAAAGACTCCACCAAAAACGATGAGAACTGACAAACACATTCAGTAAAATTGCAGGATACAAAATCAATATACGGAAAGCAATAGCATATCTATATGCCAGAGTCAACAATCTGAAAAAGAAATGAAGAAAGTAATCCCATTTACAATAGCCACAAATAAAACTAAATACCTAGGAATTAACCAAAGAAGTGAAAGATCTCTACAATGAAAACTATAAAATACTGATGAAAGAAATTGAAGAGGACACACCCACATACAAAAAAAAATTCCATGTTCATGAGTTGGAAGAATCAATACTGTTAAAATATCCATACTGCCTAAAGCAAACCACAGATTTAATGTAATCCCTATCAAAATACCGATGACATTCTTCACAAAAATAGAAAAAAAATACTAAAATTTATATGGAATCACAAAAGACCCAGAATAGCCAATGTTCTCCTGAGTAAAAAGAACAAAACTGGAGAAATCACATTACCTGACTTCGAATTATGCTAAAAGCAATAGTACCAAAACAGCATGGTACTGGCATAAAAACAGACCCATAGACCAATGACACAGAGTACATAAGCCAGAAACAAATCCACATACCTAAAGTGAACTCATTTTTGACAAAGATGCCAACAACATACACTGGGGAAACAGTAGTCTCTTCAATAAATGGTGCTTTGAAAACTGGATATCCATATGCAGAAGAATGAAATGAGACCCATATATTTTGCCCTACACAAAAATCAAATCAAAATGGATTGATGACTTAAATCTAAGATCTCAAACTGTGAAACTACTACAAGAAAACATTGGGGAAACTATCCAGGACATTAGTCTGGGCAAAAATTTCTTGAGTAGTACCCCACAAGCACAAGCAACCAAGACAAAAATGGACAAATGGGATTACATCAAGTTAGAAAGCTTCTTCACAGCAAAGGAAACAATCCACAAAGTGAAGAGACAACCCACAGAATGAGAGAAAATATTTGCAAACTACTCATCTGACAAGGAATTAATAACTAGAATATATAAGGAGCTGAAACAACTCTATACGGATCTAAGCATCAACATAATTGAACTCATGGAGATTGAGAATAGAAGGATGGTTATCAGAGGCTGGCTGGGAAAGGTAGTGTGGGGATGAAAGGAGGTGGGGATGGTTAATGGTTACAAAAAATAGAAAGAATAAATAAGACCTAGTATTTGATAGCAAAACAGGGGACTATAGTCAATAATAATCTAATTGTACAGTTTTAAAATAACTAAAAGAATATAATTGGATTGTTTGTAACACAAAGGATAAATGCTTGAGAAGATGGATACTCCATTCTTCAGGATGTTATTATTACAAATTGCATGCCTGTACTGAAATACCTCATGTAACCCTTAAATATACATACCTATTATTTACCCACAAAATTAAAGTAAACAGATTTTCAAAATAATAATAATAAAACAACAATGAGGTGCCAATACATACCTATCAGAATGGCCAAAATTCAAAACACTAACACCAAATGCTGGCAAAGATGTGGAGCAACAGGAACACTCATTCATTGCTAGTAGAAATGTAAAATGGAACAGGCACCTTCAAAGATGGTTTGTCAGTTTCTTATAAAAGTAAACATACTCTTACCACACAATCCAGCAAGTAAGCATATTGTTATTTACCCAAGTGAGTTGAAAACTATGTCCAAACCAAAACCTGCACACAGATGTTTATAGCAGCTGTATCCACACTTGACAAACCTTGGAAGCAACCAAGATACCGCTCGGTAGGTGAATGTGTAAGTAAACTGTGATATAGCCAGAACAATAGAGTATTAGAATGACTAAAAACAAAAGAGACTACAAAATGTGGGAGGGTGGGAGGGGGTTGAGGTTGAATAAATTACTTACTGGGTACAATGTTCACTATTCATGTAACAGGTACACGAAAAACCCAGACTTCACTACCAGGCAATATGTGCATGTAAGAAATCTACACTTTCAGCCTCTCTATACATAATTTTTTTTAAAGAAAAATAAAAAGAAATGGCTATCAAACATGAAAAGACACAAAGAAACTTAAATGCATATTACAAAGTGAAAGAAGCCAATCTGAAAATACTGCCTACTGTATGATTCCAACAATATGACATTCTGGAAGAGACAAAACTATGGAGACAGTAAAAACATCAGTGGTTGCCAGGAGATGGGGTTGGGGAAGAAAGGTGAATAAGCAGAACACAGAGTTTTTAGGGCAGTGAAAATACTCTGTGTGATACTATAAGATGGATACATAGCACATGTTTTTCAAAACCTAAAGTATGCACAACACCAATAGTGAGTTATAATGTTAACTATATATTTGGGCTAACAGGCGTATATCAACGTATGTATGTCAATGTCTCAATTGCATGTCAACAAATGTACCCACTAGAATGAATGGTGTCCATAGCAGGAGAGATTGTGTGTGCTTGGGGACACCGGGTATATGAGAACTCTCTCTACTTTCTGCACAATTTTTCTGTGACCCTAAAACTTCTCTAAAAATTAAGTTTATTAATTTTTAAAAGATGATACAAAAGGTTAAAAGACTGTTTATTTAATTGCTTAGTAAAATGCATGTTTCGAAAACCACAGATAGTTTTTGATAGCATTTGTGTAGCTCTTCCCATCTTATAGAACACATTTGCATGCCTCATCTAACAATCCTCACAATAAATGGAAAAAATCAGATTTATTCTCATTTTTTAAATTAATGAACTAAAGCATGGAATAGCATTTGTAAAATTTTGAGATAATTTTCACCACTATTAAAAATTAATTTTGTTAAAACAAGATGGAAATTATTATTTGCAGACTTGTAAAGGTATGCAGATTTGAGTTTCATTAATTCTAGACCCTCTTTCTACTACACAGGAAGAATTATTATTATTATTAATGCTTATTCCAAAGATGATTCTAAAACATAAAGCTCAAATACCCATAAAGTGATAGATGGCTCCCCATTTTCAAATGCAAAATAATTTCATATATGTATACTATCACACTTGATCTTCACATTGACTGCATGAAACAAGCAAGATTATTACTATACCCTTTTCCATAATGAGAGAATTAATGCTAAAATTATTTATCTGCCTAAGATCATGCAGCTAATAAGTGGCAAAATCAGAACTCAGACTCATATTTTCTCACTCCAAGTCTATACCCTTTCTCTTATATCTATAGATGCCCACAGATTACAGGACTCTTCATCTATGGCCTGATCTTTTTTGGAATAGAAAGTTTTTTACATGTGCATAACTAACTTTAAAAAAATAAACATCTAAAACTCATGGGAGTTTTAATCACATTGATACTTGCTTCTGAGACTTTGGGAAGACAGTAGGAGGTCTAGGTTCTAAAAGTTGTTTTGAGTTTCAATTGAACTGCAGCTATTTTAAGACTCATGGGGCATAGATAATTTTTAAATCTTAGACTTCTCTGATATTTCTCACGTAGATTAGTACCACAATTCAAACTGGATGTCTACGTTCTTTTGCATTAAACAATCCTTAGAAATCTCTTACCAGGAAGAGAAAACAAAGCGCACATATTCTCTCTCCTTTCATATTCTACTGGGTGTTTTATTTTCTGTAATTAGTCCTACATTGTCTGGAATTATCTTTTCCTCTTTGTTCACTAGAGAACCTTGAATTTAAATTTTGACTTTGCTACTTATTATCTATATGTGCTAGGAAAGTTAATTAACAAGAGATGAGGATAATATGGATACCATAGAGGTTTTGTGATGAGTAAATAAGTAATGTATTTTAAATGTCTAGAACAGACGCTGGGGTATTGAAACTTTAATTAACCTTGGTTTCCTCTTTCTCTCCTAATATTTGAGACCAGAAAAGAAAAAGCGTTTTCTCTATGTATTTTTTCTCAAATTAAGGAGCATAAGAATCACATGGAGTTTGTGAACAAGACAAATTTCAGGGGAAAAAAAACCCAAAACTTTTGATGTGGTAAATCTAACATAAGGCTAGGAAATTTTGATTTATAATAAGCAATTTAGGTGATTGTCATGAAGGTGATTCTCAACCTAGGTGATTCTAAATGTTAGTTTAAAATATGTTAAACAACCCAGAAAACATAGTAAACCTAGGAGATATCTATTTAGAATAAAAGAAAGCAATAACTGAGATTAAAGAGGAACAAAGAAGATACAAGGTATATAGAAAATAGCAAAATGTCAGACACATATATTACCTTATCAATAATTGCATTAAATTTAAATGAATAAAACACTCCAACCAAAAGGCATATATTAGCAGAACTGATTTTTTAAAGGACCCAACAACATGCATGTGTCTACAAGAGATACAGTTACACTTATAAACACAAATGAGTTGAAAATAAAAGAACAAAAGCATAGAAAAAAGACACATCCTGCAAACAGTAACTGAAAGAGAGCTGCAGTGGCTACACTAATGTCAGATAAAATAGATTTTGAGACAACAATTGTTATTAGAGACATAAAGGACATTTTATAATAATAAAAGAATCAATCCATCCCGAAGACATAATAATTATAAACCTACATGTGCCTAACAACAGAGCCTCAAAATACATGAAGCAAAAACTCACAGAATAGATATGAGAAACAGACAATTCTACAATATTAACTGGAAACTAAAATCAACCTTCCAGACTCCGCAATCCCTCCCTCATGTAGCCAACATAAAATGACTCAGGAAATTAATCGTCTGAATCCAGGTCTCAATCAGACTCTGAGTTTCATGCCAAGGTAGTGCCCATGTTTAAATCCATAGTGTATGTGGGTTAGTCCTTTGATATCATGTGGTGGGTTGCATCATCTCATTCTTATCATTACCATTCATATATTTCTGCAGGGAAAATTTTTTTAAATAAAGATTTAAATAATAAGCATTTAGAATTTTGTTTTAATTTAAGTAGCTTTCCACTCCTCACTCAATAGCTATTCAGTGACATTAACTGTTCCTTTGAATTTTCTATTAACACTGTTCAGTCAGATTCATGAACAGTTTTATGCTATGGCTATATGCAGTTCAGAGAGTTATTGTGATTCATGTCCTGTATATTCTCAGGCAGATTAGTGTTAATTTTCAAATGACCTTTCCTGTTGTCTCAATGGCTTTAAGGTTTCTATTTCAGTATGAAATACTCAGTTATGAATTTATATCAAAAAATTGTTTATCACTTGACTTTTTTCTTGAATTAAAAAATATCTTCAGGCGATAACATTGGAAAAACCCTTCTAGACATTGGCTTAGGCAAGGATTTCATGACCAAGAACCCAAAAGGAAATGCAATAAAAACAAAGATAAATAGCTGGGACCTAATTAAACTTCTCCTTACCCAAGTCGTCTTTAATCTTCCCTCTTCCTATTTCCCACATCTCATTTTTCTCCCAATGCCATCAATTTTGCCTCTAAAATTCCCCAAAACATCTTTGATAGATTAAAAATAGATGCAAATTATTTGCCACTCCTCCCATCCTGAGGTGTAATCTAACCTTCCTCCTGCTTTGACTGGATTTGGCCATGTGACTTGGTTTGGCCAGTGGGACATCAGGAGATGTGACACAAATAGAGTTCTGATAAGCACATAGACCTTGGGGCTTGTCCTCTTGAAACTCTGCTGTGAGACCACAATGGTGAAAGGAAGTTAGTCTAGCTTCCAGGAGAAAAGGCCACATGGAGGAGAGGAGAGATGACTTACCCCACAGTTAGCAAGAACAACCAGACACATGAGTAAATCCATCTTGAACCATGCAGGCTTTCAAGCCATAATGTGATTGCAACCATAGGAATGAGCCCAAGAAAGATCAATGGTAGAATCATCTAGCCAACCCATAGATTGATGAGAAATAATAAATCATTCTTTGCTGCAGCCACTCAGTTTGGTGTGGTTCGCTAAGCAACAAAAGTTAACAGAGACACCATCCCTTCCTATCTATGTTGTCAAGCCTACCTGAGACTCACCAAGTCTCTTCTGGGTTTTGGAAATAGCAAGGTAACTGATTTCTGTAACTCTCACACTTCCCCTTCGAATTTATCAAAAAGTCACCATCTTTATTACATTCATATATATTATTTCTATACTAAGAAACTTTCAATAAGAACATTGCTGTGAATAACAGCCCAAATCATTCATGCCTTTTATATTATCTGCCCAGTTTACTATTCCAGCCTCATTCTCACCACATCTACAATCCTGTATTCTGTATAACTTTACACATTTTCACTACAACGTTTATCGTCTATTTACATAATGTTTATGTATTTGTTATATTTGTTCTGCTATTTGTAGTAAACTATAGGTTACTACAGTACCTAAAACAAAGTAGACATGAAATAAGTGCCTGTTGTGTGAATGCTATTACTATGACTAGGATATTTTGTTTTTCATTGTTTCATTTGAACTTCAGTCTTGAAAATAAGACAACTTTATGTCCATTTTACAGATGAGGAAACAGATTCAAAATAGGTATGAGCCCTACTTTGGTCTCAGAACACTACAGCCTTAAATAAAAGTGTGATTATCTGATTCCTAGCAGAGTACACTTTGCCTTAATTAGCTACTCTCCATTTTCAAAACACTATGTATTTGCATGCTTTCCAAAAGAAAATTTAAATATTCCACCAAAATCCAACTTTGTCAGTGTTGTATAATTCTGTGTAATATTTCTTTGATTTCCCTTTATAATATTCACTTTTGTCCTTTAATCTAATATAAATTTGCATGGTAACAAAATTGTTAATTTATGCTTCTTATTATGATCAGTCCTTAAGTAACCCAACCCCTTCTCCAATGTCTTCAGAGAAAGCTTATCATTACAGAAGGCTCTGCCTGGTAAAATCAACATATTTAATCTTCATGTGTAATAGTTGGCTGAAAGCCAATAGAATCAAAAGGGCAAGTCTGAGCAAGGAAGAAAACAGGCAAGAATAGATGAGCACAGGGGCAAAACATCCCTTTAATAGATGTAATAGTAAGTATATTTTATTTTGTAGGGAATGAGTGATTCTGATGGGTTGAGTAAGTCACCAATGGCTTCTCCCATTTACCTGATTATCACCTTGGGTATTTAATTTCTCTAAGTCTTAAATACCTCGTTTGAAAAATAAGAGTAATGTTGCTTCACAAAGTTGTTGGGGGTTTGGCTGAAATATTGTATACATAGAGCACATTATACCATGTCTGGCATATAGCAAGAAAGCAATAAATTATAATAATTATAATTCTTTTCATGTTAGATAGTGAAAGATTTTTCAGGGTAGAGTAATTGCTTATAAGCAGTACTGAAGTTTTGAAATTATACCCCCAAATTAAAGCTGTTTTGTTAAATGCAATAATATTTTATTGGAATATGGGTATTATCGTATGTTAAGACTGGGAGGAAGATATTGGCAAGATTGTGTAAAATGCTCATGGATATACCAATCATATGGCAAGATGAATGACACTACTATGATTGATGTGGACAATAGCAATTCGCTCCCTACAATTTGGAAGGTGCACAAGCTTCTTTAAGGAATCTGAGCACTCCGATACCACTGAAAGAACAGGGGTTCCATTAGTATTGGGGAAATAGCCACGGGTAAAAAAAAATAGTATTCACCCCACTTGTCTTACATCTTTTCTCCTGCTGCTCATCTTGCTTTCACTCTTCCACTCACTTCAAAATAACATCTGTCCCTCTTGTTCTTGAAGTCCGCCATTGACTCCCACGTAGCCAAATGCGATTAATAGTTTTTTAGCTCTCATCTTCTTTGACCTTCCAGTAGCATACAACACAGTTGATTACTCACTCCTAGAAATACTCTTTTGATCTGTGTGATGCAAAACTTTCCTGATTTTCTTCTTATCTAGCATCTCCTTCCCTCTCTTTAAATTATCTTTCTCTTCCATCTGACCTCATGTAACTCAGAACTTTCATTTTTTTCTCCCTAGCATCTATATGCCAATAATTCCAAAATTATATCTCTAGCCTACATTTCCAGACCCATATATATCCAATTCCTTACTTGACCTAGTCACTTGATCATCTCACTCATATCAAAAAATGAACATTTCAAAACTGAACTTGTTATTTTCTACACAATTTTTATCCTCCAGTCTCATATTATTTTAATAAATGAGACTCCCTCTCTCTCTCTCTGTCTCTCTCTGTCTCACACACACACACAAACACACACACACACACACACACACACACATCTATTTACTCGAGCCAAAAATCTGGGCATAGCTTGATACAGCTCTCTCTTATCCCTACCTTTAATGTATCACTAAGATCCACTAATTTTACCGTCAAAATACCCCAAGTCCACCCATTACTCTCCCTTCTCATAGCCAACATGCCAGTCCAAACTGTTGCAACTCTTTCACCTAGGCTAACGCAATTTTCTCCAAACAATTTCTATTTTCTTCCACTTTTACCTCAGTCTAACCCAATGTTTATTTTGCAGCCAATGTGTTTTTTGGGGTTTTGTTGTTGTTATTGTTTTTGTTTTTGTTGTTTGAGATACAGTCTGGCTCTTTTGCCCAGGCTGAAATACAGTGGCGTGATCTCCGCTCACTGCAACCCAGAACTTCTGAGTTCAATGAGTTCTCCTGCCTCAGCCTCCCAAGTAGCTGAGACTACAGGCATGCACCACCATGCCCAGCTAACTTTTGTATTTTTTTTTATAGGGATGGAGTTTCACCATGTTGCCCAGGCTGGTTTTGAACTCCTGGGCTCAAGCGATCCTCCTACCTCAGCCTCCCAAAGTGCTGGGTTTACAGGGATGAGCCACAGATCCTGCACCAATGTGGTCTTTTAAATGTATAGATGAAATGGTGTCACTCTCCTGCTTAAAATCCTTCTATGACTTTCCATTGCACTAAAAAGAGACTCAAATAACTCACTGTGGCCCATAGGGGTTGTCATGATATGGCCCGTCCATGTCAATCTCTTCAATTTCATCTCATGCTATGCTGGCCCCACTACCTATTTAGCCATCTGGCCTTCTTTTAGTTTTTGGAACATGTCACACTGTTTTCCAACTGCAAGATCTTTATCATCCTATCGTCTAGATCGCTGTCTATACACACCCTGCCTCCCACATCCAAACTGCACAAACTCTGTTTTCAACTCCTATTCATTCTTCAGAAAGATCTTTTCTTTCCTTTTCTGATTGTCTCAACTAAAGGAGACGCCTCTGTGATCTTTCTTTTCTTTTTTTTTTTTTTTTTTTTTTTTGAGATGGAGTTTTGCTCTTGTTGCCCAGGGTGGAGTGCAATGGCACAATCTTGGCTCGCTGCAACATCTGCCTCCCAGGTTCAAGTGATTCTCCTACCTCAGTCTCCACAGTAGCTGGGATTACAGGCATGCGCCACCACACCTGGCTAATTTTTTGTATTTTAATAGAGATGGGGTTTCTCCATGTTGGTTAGGCTGGTCTCGAACTCCTGACCTCAGGTGATCTGCCCTCCTCGGCCTCCCAAAGTTCTTCTATTAGAGGTGTGAGCCACCTCGCTCAGCTGATCTTTCTTACAGTCTTGTTCTTTTCCTTCATAGCACTGACCACAAACTGCAATTTTAAAATTTATTTTAATTTTACAAATAAATTACAAATGTGTAATTATTAAAATCTTTTCCAGGCCAGTGCTGGTGGCCCATGTATGTAATCCCAGAACTTCGGGAAGCCAAGGCAAGAGGATCACTTAAAGCAACCCACAACCCACGGGCTGCATGCATCCCGGGACGGCTTTGAATAAAGCCCAGGACAGCTTTGAATGCGGCCCAACACAAATTCATAAACTTTCTTAAAACATTATGAGATTTTTTTGCGATTTTCTTTTTTTAGCTCACCAGCTATCATTCGTTTGTTCTATGTGTGGCCCAAGACAATTCTTCTTCCAATGTGGCCCAGGGAAGCCAAAAGATTGGACACCCTGGCTTAAAGCCAGGACTTCAAGACCAGCCTAGGCAACAAAACAGAGACCCCATTTCAACAAATCACTTTTAAAATTTAGCTTGGTGGTGTGTACCTGTAGTACCAGCTATTACCTACTCAGGAGGCTGAGGTGGAAGGATTGCTTGAGTCCAGGAGATCAAGCCTGCAGTAAGCCATGATCTTGCCATTGCTCTCCAGCTTGAGTGAAAGCATGAGACTACCTCTTAAAAAAAATATATATGTTTTTGCTACCTGGTTAAAACCAGGTGTAATTTAGAGTATATGTTAATTTAATTACCTACATGTATTTATTCTTTACTAGATGCTTGAAACCCATCTCCCTTTGGTGTTATCACTGTAAGCACACATACACATATACATACACATACACATGTACACATACACAAACACATGTACACATACACAGAAACACACGAGGATGCAGAAGTCTCCCTATAATTTAGCGAACTCGTGAAATTATAAAATTTCGTATACATCACCATGGTATCATAACTGCCACTTTAATCCAACAACATTCAGTCCTTGCTAAAAGTTATTTCATTCTTACAAAGAAATAGATCTAAGAAAAGAAATATAAATTCAGTTACATTCAGTTTCAAGTTTCACTGTCAACGGTGAATCAGAAATCTTTAATATGACTAAATCTGGTATATTTGAATAAGTATATGCCAATAAAATACCTATAGGTCTTTATGGACCTCTGTCTTGTTCTTGATTTTAATTTATTAGAATGTATCAATTGACCTACATCAATTATTTTATGGGAAATATTATCAGTAAGATTTTTATCTTTAACATCCCAAATAGGAAATCCCCACTAGTGTAATAAATAATGTATTTGGCAGGGAATTGGCAAGCCATCTCAATCAGAAAACTTCCTGGCTGACAATCACACAAAATTGAGACCACAAAGCATATCTTAAATGTTTCAGCACTTGGATTTTCCTAAATACTTCTTTTAAGTTCTTTCTGAACAAGTTGCACAGAGATCAAAACATGCTAATTTCATCATTGCTAGCCAAAATCATAAAAGAACCGTATAAAAGCATATGGATACACTTACTAACTTATAAACAAAAAACTGTTTCATGGTTTTATTGAACAGTCCATAAAAGATTTTCCTCATTTGTAAAATGAAGAGATTGAACGAGATGATAGCTAAGATGTCCTCAAGCTCGAAAAATTCTAATATTTGTGATTTTAGAATAAATACTTCATATTTTTCTTTTCTAACAAGGAAAAGTAACAGTATATGTTATTCCCATGTTTTACCATTTTGGTGTAGTAGGAGACCTGGGGTCATTTTTGCCTCTCTGAGGAGTGGAAATACAAAAGGGTAACTCATTACCCCTTCTTAGCTTAAAAAGGAAGCCAGTTTGAAGGACTTTTACTATCCCTCTATGCTATTCTTCTGTATTTCCCTCTCAACTCCAATTTTAGTAAACATATATACACATACTCTAACACCAGCCCTACCACCACCACCAGGATTCCCATTATGGACATAAGCAACTCGTCTATTAAGGACAGCAGATAGTATCCTCCAGAAACTACAGAGTAAACACAGCCCTCCCCAGAATCCATATCAGGTGTCTCACCTGACAGCTCAGCTAAAGCTTCTGTCCTGTGAAGTCACTTTGCTCAGATCCTTATTCACAGCTCTTGGAAATGGTGCTAAAAGAGTAACAGAGTTAAAATAAAATCAAGCCAAAGACATTTCAGGACTGTTTGTAAGGATCAAGCTGTGCCCTACCGCTTGAGCCATGAGATCCTCTTATATTAGAGATATCAGTGGTTGGGAAAGATATCATGTGGAATTTATGGGAAGTCCCAGTGGGAAAATCACATCACAGGCTCCTGGGATACTAGAGCAAGGTCACATAGCTTGCAATGGAGAATGTACACCTTTTGAAATGCAACTCATGGCGTGTTACTGAGCCATCACACAAATTGAGAGCCAGACTATGGGACACCATGTGACCATGTGGCTAGAATTTTCCATGTTGACCTTAATGCTATCATATCCACCAGCTCAGCTAGGCTCAGCCTGCATGTCATGCACCACTGTTGCGCCAACACCTCTTCCTCATCTCACTCCTATGGCCCAGCAGGGGAATCCCTGAGGACTAGCTGACAGATGATCAAAGTGCCCAAGACTGGTTTACAGACAGGTCAGCTCAGTATGTGGATATAAGGCACTACAGTCTAACTCACAGACAATTATTTCAATTGACAAAGTTTGGGGCAGTACATTTGCCATCCCCTTTGGGTAATAAAAGAAGTAGTCTGAGATTAGAACATATAAGGACTCCTGGGCAGTGGCAAATGGAATGGCTAGCTGGTAAAATCCTAGAAAAAAAGAAAGATTGGAAGATCGAAGACAAAATGGTCTGGCAGAAAGGAATACAGTCGGCCCTCTGTATCTGAGGGTTCTACATCTGTGGATTCAAACAACCTTGGATCAAAAATGTTGAGGGGGAAAAAAATGCCACAACTTTCCAAAAATTAAAATTTGAATTTTGTCATGCAGTGAGTACTAGGTTGAATTCACTCGAATGAAGTAAGGTATAGGCATTGTGTTAGGTATTGTAAATAATCTAGATATGTTTTATAGTATACAGGAAAAAATGTGCGTAGGTTATATGCAAATATTATGCCATTTTATAAAAGAGACTTGAGCATCCACAGATTTTGGTATCTATGGGGGTCCTGGAACAAATCTCCCATGGATACCAAGCCTTACTATATATATGGATAAATAGGAATGGGCATAAAGTGGGAAAATCTTCATATTAAAAGTTAACACCAATCCAAGAGCTCCCACCATGGAAGAGGCACTTAACAAAGAAGTAGATTAAATGCCTCAGCCAGTTGACACTAGCCAGCCTGGCTTTGGCCATTCCAGTGCTGGAAAAACGGACACATTAAAAAGTGGTCATGGTGATAGAGACAGAGGTTAGACATCAGCACAGCAGCATGGGCTGCCACTTTTCCTGATGAATCTCACTTCTGCTGCCTCTGAATGTCCAGTCTGCTAGGAACAAAATCCAATGCCAAGTCCATGATGTGAGATCATTCCTCAAGGATACTGTCTAGCCACTTGACCGCAAGTTGTCTACACTGCTCCCCTTCTATCCTAAAAAGATCTGTGACTGATTCTGATCAATCACAGAAGAAATAGAACTTTTGGGTATGGATTTCCCTTTCTTGCCCACAGAGTGCCTGTTCCACCCACACAGGGTCCCACATACAGCAGAGTAGATATGGGAGCAGGCCCATAACAGAGAAATGCATCAGTAACAACAAGCTCTA
Source organism: Homo sapiens (assembly GCF_000001405.40). NCBI lineage: Eukaryota > Metazoa > Chordata > Mammalia > Primates > Hominidae > Homo > Homo sapiens. The sequence goes on from NC_000008.11 coordinate 16,965,716, forward strand.
ACCCATCTAGAAGCTGCTATTCTGATACAATATTGCAATAACCTGGTGACAGGATCATGGAAACACCAGCTCAGAGGTGATACTTTACGAAAATGATGGAACATTCTCCAGAATGCAGCATATACCACAGTTCAAAGATTTCTATGTCGTGCAGTGTCCCCAGTAAGAAGGAACTGAGAAATGTAGGGAGACATATCCCTGTTTGCCATCACTCTAAATATCACTTGTGGAATTCGTACCTCCCGCCCCTTCAGTCCTGCAGCATTGAAGGTCCTGGTACCCAAAGGGGAATACTTCTTCCAGTGGACATAGCAGAAGTCTCATTAAGCTATAACTATGGCTGCTCTTGGCACTTCATTTTCCTTGTGTCCAGGAACCAGAAAGTAAGAAGAGAAAATAGTCATCTTGACAGAGGCAATAAATCTTGATCATCAGGGAGGAATAGGCTGCTGTTATATCACTGGAATGTGGAGAAATACACACAGAACCCAGGTGTGGGCATCCTTAAAGATTCCCTGAAAATTATGAAAGCAAATAGACAAATTAAACAGCCCTAGCCTCAGAAGGGCATGGTGACAAGGAGCTCCAAGTCCTTAACGTTAGGGTCTGATTCTCACCACCTAAAGTCACCCAGAGCAGCAGAGGGCTCAGAAAGGGCTGGTCTAGATTGGGTAATGCTACGGGGAGGCAATGAGTACCAGTTATGGCTCTGAGACCAGCTTTACCAACAAGGACTAACATTTGTCCCACCACTCCTTCTCTTCCAAGTTTCCCCCAGGAAAAGAAGCCTAATGGAATCCTGGAAGAGTGTTTTCCAAATATTTATGAGAATGTGGATCTGAGCAACAAGGGGTAGACGGTAATGGACATGGAGTTGTGCTACCTACCTTCCTTTGCAAGAAAGGGTTTATTGCCCCAACTGTCCAAGTGCTGCCAGCCCCTTAAGGAACTGCCTCCACTTTCTGGGGTGACCCACATCCAGCAATGGATGTAAGCATGGGTAAAAGATTTTAGCCAGTTCAGCCCAGAGAGTTAGAGCCATTTTAGTTCAAGAGCTCGTTGTCAAGATTATCGAGATTGATGTCATGTCCACATCACAAATCAATGTCTCCCGTCTCGTCTTATGTTTTTGCCTTTGCTTCCACAGTGGATCCCAAGGGCATTGCTTAATAAACATTGCCTACTTTTTATTATCTCAGAGTGTAAAAGAACCCGGCCAGGCGTGGTGGCTCACGCCTGTAATCCCAGCACTTTGGGAGGCCAAGACGGGTGAATCACCTTAGGTCAGGAATTCAAGACCAGCCTGGCCAACTTGGTGAAACCTTGTCTCTACTACAAATACAAAAATTAGCTTGGCATGGTGCCAGGTGCTTGTAGACCCCACTACTTGGGAGACTGTGACAGGATAATTGGTTGAACCCATGAGGTGGAGGTTGCCGGGAGCTGAGATTGCGCCACTGCACTCCAATCTGGGTGACAGAGTGAGACTCCATCTCAAGAAGTAATAATAACAATAAAAAGAGTGTAAAAGAACCCAACTTGGATTATTTTTTCTGAATGAGACTCAGCACAGAGAATGAGTCATGGGAGACCACAGAGTATAGCTCAGGACATTTTCACAACATTTACATCTGTACAAGTATTTCTAGTGTATGTTTTAAAATTACTCTTAGGTTTGTACTTTTAGCACTATGATAATTGAGGTGGCATGTGTATAAATTATCAAATATCTTTAGCTGATATGTATAGAAAATGTACATTATATATTTTAAAATTCTAAAAATTTCACAGGTAAAAATTATCTCAAAATGGATCAGTGTATGTTTTAAAATTACTCTTAGGTTTGTACTTTTAGCACTATGATAATTGAGGTGGCATGTGTATAAATTATCAAATATCTTTAGCTGATATGTATAGAAAATGTACATTATATATTTTAAAATTCTAAAAATTTCACAGGTAAAAATTATCTCAAAATGGATCATTGATCTAAATGTATGAGTTAAAACTAGAAAAGCTTCAAGAAGAAAGCACAGAAGAAGTTCTTAGTGACTTTGGGTTTGACAAAGATTTCTTAAATATAAAACAAACAGCATGAAAAAAATCAATAAATTAGACTTCATCTAAATTTAACTTTTGTTCAGTAAAAGGCACAGTTAATTTTTAAAAAATAAGCCATAGACTGGGAGAAAATACTTTCAAAATCTATATTCAAAAAGTATTTGAATATGTAAAGAATTCTGACAATTCAGTGATAAAATAAATAGCCCAATAAATACAGGCTAAGCATCTGAACTGTTGTTTTACCAAAGAAGACGTACAGATGGCAAATACAAGCTCATGAAAATATGTTCAACACCATTAGTCACCAAGGAATTTAATTGATTAAATTAGAATGCACTTTAAATGAAAATCATATGCAAATTAAAACTACACGAGATACTAGAATTTCTAAAACTAAAAAGACTGTTCATGTAAAGCACTGAGGAGGATGCGGCTAGAACTCTTGCACAATGTTCTTTTCAATGTAAAATAGTATAGTTGCTGTGGAAAACCAGCTGGAAGTTCATTATTAATACAACTCAGCAATTTTATTCCTAGATATTTATCCAAGAGAATGTAAAACATATGATCATAACAGTTTTATTCATAATAGACCTAAACTGGAAACAATCAAATGTCCATCAATGGTTGAATGGATAAACAAATTGTGGTATATCCTTACAACAGAACAGAACTCAACAATAAAGAGGATGGTACATCTGATACATGCCACTGTAAGGATGAATCTCAGAAACGTTAAGAGCTCACAGTGCCTGATTCCATCTATACTAAACTTTAGAAAATAAAAGCTAATCTCCAGTGACAGTAAGTAGGTCAGTGGTTTCCTTTAGCTGTGGGTCAAAGTTAGGGGTGGGCAGAATGGATGATGACCTACATTTAGACAAGGGGAAACATTCTGGCTTGCTGAAAATATCCTCTATGGTCATTGTGGAGTGGTTACACAGGTGTATATATTTTTCAAAAGTCATAAAACCCTACCCTTAAAATCTTTGAGTTATTCTATGTAGATCATAACTCAATAAAGTTTTTTTTAAAAAGAATGTTTAATTTTTTTAAAGAAGGGGTGGCAAACAAAATGCAAACAGAAACTTGAACAGATATTTGTATATCCATGTCCATGGCAACTTTGCACAATAGCCAAACAGTGGAAACAACCCACATGTCCCTCAACAGATGAATGGATAAACAATGTGGTGCATAAATACAATGAAATATTGTTCAGCCTTAACAAGGGATGAAATTCTGACACTTGCAACAACGTCGATGACCCTTGAAAACATTATGCTAAGTAAAATAAGCCAGTCACAGAAGGACAAATATTGTATGGTTCTATTTATATGAGTTTCCTAGAATAGCCAAATTCATAGAATGGTATTTACCAGGGGCTAGGGAGAGAGGGAAATGGAGTGTTAGTAACTAATGGGCACAGAGTTTCAGCTGAGGAATATGAAAACATTCTAGAGATGGATGGTGGTGATGCTTGCACAACAATGTGAGTGTACTTAATGCCATAGAACTGTTGATATGGTTTGGCCATGTCCCCACCCAAATCTTATCTTGAATTGTAGCTCCCACAATTCCGTGTTGTGGGAGAGATCTGGTGGAAGGTTATTGAATCATGGGAGTGGGTCTTTCCCACGCTATTCTCATGACAGTAAGTCTCATGAGATATGATGGTTTTATAAAGGGGAGTTTCCCTGCACAAGTTCGCTTCTCTTGTCTGCCGCCATGTGAGATGTGCTTTTCACCTTCCACCATGATTGTGAGGCCTCCCCAGCCACATAGAACTGTGAGTCTATTAAAGCTATTTCTTTTGTAAATTGCCCAGTCTTGGGTATATCTTTATCTGCAGTGTCAAAATGGACTAATACAACTGTACACTTAAAAATTCTTGAAATGATAAATTTTATGCTATGTGTATTTTACCACAATAAAAAAGGAAGGGTAGTGAATACAATATGTGAGGAGGGGGAAAGTGGACGTCCCAATTAAATGAATGCTTTGTTTCATGGGTGAGGAAAGCATGGAGACCAACATAAGTTGATTTGCAAGGAATACTGGAGCAATCCTGGCCATGAAAACACAAAACATGTAAACAAAGGACCAAGGAGATTTGAAAGAAGGAACTTCAAAAAGCTACTGTCCTGATCAACAGGATAGGTGAACCGAATGACCTGATTATCAGCTTTAGAAATTCACATCTTAAGTCCGCTCCCAGAGGGTTGTGTTTCCACTCCCCAAAGCTTTTAATGAAAGCATGAATTTCATGAGAAATTGCTGCAAAATTAGCTAAATGGAAACATTTGGATTTGGATTTGGTCCACTGTCTGCACAATAATTTCCCTGTGGCCTAAGACAAAAGGGTAATCAGATTTGGACTAACATGACCCCCAATTCATAAGAGGAACACTGGCAAGTTGCTGAGATTCAGAGGAGATCAATAGGACACAAGAATCAGCTAAACTTGCAGGCATAGCAGCCATGGCAACATCCCTAGCAAATCCTCCACACAGATAGTAACTAGCCACTTCAAAATCACTGGGAGTGGAGCCAAGAGAGGGAACACTGAGACAAGGACTTTGTAAATCTTAAGGATAAACTCCTCCCCACACAAGAAAAACAGACAGCACCTAAAGCATTTTCTTTGATTTTTTTCCTGATCTCTCTAAATTTAAGAAACCTGGCCTTAAAGTCTGAGAGATCAAGCCCAGCCTCCCATAGGGAAGGACAAATTGTCCCAAAGTCCTTAACATGCAGGTCTATTAAACCTCTGATCTGCCTGGAGAGACCCTAAACCTTATGACTGCTTTGAATGAAGGACAATATTCAAGAATATAGGAAATTTCAGATACAGGATCAAAGATAACATTAATTCTAGGAAGCTTGAATACAAGGACAGAAATTCTTTTGACTATTGAAGGATGTGGAGAAAAAGTGGCTGAAGTTGCTGGGTTATAATTGCTGGGTAGAGAATTTTTCCTGGGGTGGTATCTCCTTTCCATGAATGTGTAATTGCAAGGAATTCATTGCAATTTTAGGAAAGGTAAGAACCTTCTTCTCAAAAAGTTAAAGAGTAGGAGCCTAACAATTGGCCTTCCAAAAGGGAATCTCTAGAGCAGCCCAGTATCACCACAGTTGTAAATATGAAATAGTAGCTTTTTGTAGGTTGTAGGTACTATTTCATATTTACAACTGTGGTGATACTAGGCTGCTCTAGAGATTCCCTTTTGGAAGGCCAATTGTTACAGGCAACCTACAAAATGGGAGAAAATTTTCACAACCTACTCATCTGACAAAGGGCTAATATCCAGAATCTACAATGAACTCAAACAAATTTACAAGAAAAAAAACAAACAACCCCATCAAAAAGTGGGCGAAGGACATGAACAGACACTGCTCAAAAGAAGACATTTATGCAGCCAAAAAACACATGAAAAAATGCTCATCATCACTGGCCATCAGAGAAATGCAAATCAAAACCACAGTGAGATACCATCTCACACCAGTTAGAATGGCAATCATTAAAAAGTCAGGAAACAACAGGTTCTGGAGAGGATGTGGAGAAATAGGAACACTTTTACACTGTTGGTGGGACTGTAAACTAGTTCAACCATTGTGAAGTCAGTGTGGCGATTCCTCAGGGATCTAGAACTAGAAATACCATTTGACCCAGCCATCCCATTACTGGGTATATACCCAAAGGACTATAAATCATGCTGCTATAAAGACACATGCACACGTATGTTTCTTGCGGCATTATTCACAATAGCAAAGACTTGGAACCAACCCAAATGTCCAACAATGATAGACTGGATTAAGAAAATATGGCACATATACACCATGGAATACTATGCAGCCATAAAAAAGGATGAGTTCATGTCCTTTGTAGGGACATGGATGAAATTGGAAACCATCATTCTCAGTAAACTATAGCAAGAACAAAAAACCAAACACCGCATATTCTCACTCATAGGTGGGAATTGAACAATGAGATCACATGGACACAGGAAGGGGAACGTCACACTCTGGGGACTGTTGTGGGGTGGGGGGAGGGGGGAGGGATAGCATTGGGAGATATACCTAATGCTAGATGACGAGTTAGTGGGTGCAGCACACCAGCATGGCACATATATACGTATGTAACTAACCTGCACAATGTGCACATGTACCCTAAAACTTAAAGTATAATAATAAAAAAAAAGGTACCAAGTTCCATTAGAAGTTCACCAAACTATATAATAGGGATGGATGTTGAAGAATTATACCTTTATTGTACTACTACAGGAATAAACTCTCCAACACTGCATTATAATCTAACAAGGTAAAGTTTAAACAGGAGCCTTGCCATAATTCAAGGAGAAATTTCATCCTTTTCATAGATGTCATATTGATCAGCAGTCAGAAATAATCATAACTGAACTCTGTCTTTCCTCGTTAGTTTGATGACTAAAAATGCTAGAACAATTAACAAGAAAAAAATTCAAGGGCCCTTCACCAAACAACATTTGTGAGAGTAGCATTATTTGGAGCAAACAAACTATGCACTGAATGAGACAAAAATTTTATCCTTGAGAGCCACATCACCAAACAGGAGGCAAAGAAACAAGTGTCATGTGTGGATAGTGACACATCTGGGTGTTATGCTGTAGTCTCATCATTCAATTGCACAGCATCCTGAACAACAAAATGCCTTAAAGCTTGCACAAGCAACTTTCTGACCTCTCTGCCCTTGATGTGGAGCCATCGGCATGTCCCAAATCAAATGACAAAGCTGTCAAGTCTGCCAAATAGTGTTCTCATTTTGAAAGACAATTGCCAGCCACTTACTGTGCCATAGTTAAAACAGCAGTTCATAAACAGAACATCAAATTCTTTTGCTACCCCCATTAATTGCCTTATACCTGAAACCTCATTACTCTCAAGGAGGAATGAGCAAATGAGATTTCCATTCTTAAATGGAAACAGTACAGTCAATAGAGAGTCATATTGATCTCCAAAGAGATATGAAGCCATCACAGATTGTGCTGCCCTGCTGGAGACCAGCCCTTGACAAGGGCACCCATACTGATTCCAAAGGTACATTGCTTCTAAGAAATACTGTCCTTGACCTCTGCACTTTTTGCTCTAATACGTCTCCAAGACCGTTATTTCTTTTTTTTTTTTTTTTTTTTTTTTTTTTTTTTTTTTTTGAGACGGAGTCTCGCTCTGTCGCCCAGGCTGGAGTGCAGTGGCATGATCTAGGCTCACTGCAAGCTCCCCCTCCTGGGTTCATGCCATTCTCCTGCCTCAGCCTCCTGAGTAGCTGGGACTACAGCCGCCACCACGCCTGGCTAATTTTTTGTATTTTTAGTAGAGGCGGGGTTTCACCGTGTTAACCAGGATGGTCTTGATCACCTGACCTGGTGATCTGCGTGCCTCGGCCTCCCAAAGTGCTGGGATTACAGGCGTGAGCCACCGCGCCCGGCCCAATACCATTATTTCAAACAGAATAAGTTATATCTATCCAAATCCCAGTTTCAGGGCAAACAAAATGATTGCAAGTAGAGTCTTACTCAAAAAAACTATTTACCTTCTCAGTAATTGCTCCTTTCAGAGTACCACATGTCATAACTCAGGCCCCATGGCAAACAAGATGAGGTAACTGTAAGCCTCAGACATAGTTGGCCATATTCACCACCATGAAGAGATCTGATGTAATAGAGAATGATTAGTCCTGAGTTCTTCTTCATTAAAACACTGGAGAGAAAGTAGTAGAGCTGACTTCTTTTCTGAATTGGGACAGAGAGTAATGGTTCAGTGGGGGAAAGATTAGTTGGTTAAAAAAGTAAAAGGAAACATATGGTTCTAAGGGTTTTTTTATATTTTAACCATGTTGGGAAAAATTTTATTGATAAAAGAAGGATAGATATTGTTTCTGACTGCCAGATATGTTAAAATAAATATTAAAATACCTTTCACAAAATGGTTGAGAAGGTACAGGTTAACCACCTAGAAGCCAAAATGTAAAAGGAACTTTATAAGCTGAGGAACCTGGAAACACTAAATATTTTGCCAAAAAGAGACAAAGGAACTTTAATTTTTTTTTAATTATACTTTAAGTTCTGGGATACATGTGCAGAATGTGCAGGTTTGTTACATACGTATGCACGTTCCATCGTGGTTTGCTGCACCCATCAACCCGTCATCTACATTAGGTATTTCTCCTAATGCTATCCTTCCCCTGCCCTCTACCCCCCAACAGACCCCAGTATGTGACATCCCCCTCCCTGTGCCCATATGTTCTCATTGTTCAACTCCCACTTATGAGTGAGAACATGCAACGTTTGGTTTTCTGTTCCTGTGTTAGTTTGCTGAAAATGATGGTTTCCAGCTTCATCCACGTCCCTGCAAAGAACATGAACTCATTCTTTCTTATGGCTGCATGATATTCCCTGGTGTATATGTGCCTCATTTTCTTTATACATTCTATCATTGATGGGCATTTGGGTTAGTTCCAAGTCTTTGCTATTGTGAATAGTGCTGCAATAAACATACTTGTGCATGTGTCTTTATAGTAAAATGATTTATAATCCTTTGGGTATATACCCAGTATGGGACTGCTGAGTCAAATGGTATTTCTAGTTCTAGATCCTTGAGGAATCACCACCACACTGTTTTCCACAAAGGCTGAACTAATTTACACTCCCACCCACAGTGTAAAAGCATTCCTATTTCTCCACATCCTCTCCAGCTTCGGTTGTTTCCTGACTTTTTCATGATCGCCATTCTAACTGGCATGAGATGGTATCTCACTATGGTTTTGATTTGCATTTCTCTAATGGCCAGTGATGATGAGCTTTTTTTCATAAGTTTGTAGGCCGCATAAATGTCTTCTTTTGAAAAGTATGTGTTCATATCTTTCGCCCACTTTTTGATGGGGTTGTTTGTTTGTTTTTCTTGTAAATTTGTTTAACTTCTTCGTAGAGTCTGGATATTAGACCTTTGTCAGACGGATAGGTTGCAAAAATTTCCTCCCATTCAGTAGGTTGTCTCTTCACTCTGTTGATAGTTTCTTTTGCTATGCAGAAGCTCTTTAATTTAATTATATCCCATTTGTCAACTTTGGCTTTTGTTGCAATTGCTTTTGGTGTTTTAGTAATTAAGTCTTTGCCCATGCCTACGTCCTGAATGGTATTGCCTAGGTTTTCTTCTAGGGTTTTTATGGTTTTAGGTCTTATGTTTAAATCTTTAATCCATCCTGAGTTAATTTTTGTATAAGGTGTGAGGAAGGGGTCCAGTTTCAGTTTTCTGCATATGGCTAGCCAGTTTTCCCAACACCATTTATTAAATAGGGAATCCTTTCCCCATTGCTTGTTTTTATCAGGTTTGTCAAGAATCAGATGGTTATAGATGTGTGGTGTTATTTCTGAGGCCTCTGTTCTGTTCCACTTATCTATATATCTGTTTTGGTACCAGTATCGTGCTGTTTTGGTAACTGTAGTCTTGTAGCATAGTTTGAAGTCAGGTAGCGTGATGCCTCCAGCTTTTTCTTTTTGCATAGGATTGTCTTGGCTATACATGCTCTTTTTTTGTTCCATATGAAATTTAAAGTAGTTTTTTCTAATTCTGTGAAGAAAGTCAATGGTAGTTTGATGGGGATAGCATTGAATCTATAAATTACTTTGGACAGTGTGGCCGTTTTCATGATATTGATTCTTCCTATCCATGAGCATGGAATGTTTTTCCATTTGTGTCCTCTCATTTCCTTGAGCAGTGGTTTGTAGTTCTCCTTGAAGAGGTCCTTCACATCCCTTGTAAGTTGGATTCCTAGGTATCTTATTCTCTTTGTAGCAATTGTGAATGGCAGTTTACTCATGATTTGGCTTTCTGTTTATTATTGATGTATAGGAATGCGTGTGACTTTTGCACATTGATTTTGTATCCTGAGACTTTGCTGACGTTGCTTATCAGCTTAAGGAGGTTTTGGGTTAAGACGATGGGGTTTTCTAAATATACAATCATGTTATCTGCAAACAGAGATAAATTTACTTCCTCTTTTCCTATTTGAATACCCTTTATTTCTTTCTCTTGCCTGATTGCCCTGGCCAGAACTTCCAATACTACGTCAAATAGGAGTGGTGAAGGAGCGCATCCTTGTCTTGTGCCAGTTTTCAAAGGGAATGCTTCCAGCTTTTGCTCATTCAGTATGATATTGGCTGTGGGTTTGTCATAAGTAGCTCTTATTATTTTGAGATATGTTCCATCAATGCCTAGCTCATTGAGTGTTTTAACATGAAGGTGTTGAATTTTATCAAAGGCCTTTTCTGCATCTATTGAGATAATCATGTGGTTTCTGTCATTGGCTCTGTTTATGTCATGGATTACATTTATTGATTTGCATATTTTGAATGAGCCTTGCATCCCAGGAATGAAGCCAACTTGATTGTGTTGGATAAGCTTTTCAGTGTGCTGCTGGATTTGGTTTGCTGGTATTTTATTGAGGATTTTCACATTGATGTTCATCTGGGATGTTGGCCTGAAATTTTCTTTTTTTGTTGTGTCTCTGCCACGTTTTGGTATCAGGATGAGGCTGGCCTCATAAAATGAGTTAGGGAGGTTTCACTCTTTTCCTATTGTTTGGAATGGTTCTAGAAGGAATGGTAACAGCTTCTCTTTGTACCTCTGGTAGAATTCAGCTGTGAATTTGTCTGCTCCTGGGCTTTTTTTGGTTGATAGGCTATTAATTACTGCCTCAATTTGAAGTCTTGTTATTGGTCTATTCAGGGATTCAACTTCTTCCTGGTTTAGTCTTGGGAGGGTGTACGTGTCCAGGAATTTATCCATTTCTTCTAGATTTCCTACTTTATTTGCGTAGAGGTGTTTATAGTATTCTCTGATGGTGGTTTGTATTTCTGTGGGATCAGTGGTGCTATCCCCTTTATCATTTTTTATTGTATCTATTTGATTCTTCTCTCTTTTCTTCTTTATTATTCTGGCTAGCAGTCTATCAATTTTGTTAATCTTTTCAAAAAACCAGCTCCTGGATTCATTGATTTTTTGAAGGGTTTTTCATGTCTCTATCTCCTTCAGTTCTGCTCTGATCCTAGTTATTTCTTGTCTTCTGCTAGCTTTTGAATTTGTTTGCTCTTGCTTCTCTAGTTCTTTTCATTGTGATGTTAGGGTGTTGATTTCCTACATTCTTCTGTGGGCATTTAGTACTATAAATTTCCCTCTAAACACTGCTTTAGCTGTGTCCCAGAGATTCTGGTACATTGTGTCTTTGTTCTCATTGCTTTCAAAGAACTTATTTATCTCTGCCTTAATTTCATTATTTACCCAGCAGTCATTCAGGAGCAGGTTGTTCAGTTTCCATGTAGTTGTGCAGTTTCGAGTGAGTTTCTTAAACCTGAGTTCTAATTTGATTGCACTGTGGTCTGAGAGATTGTTTGCTATGATTTCCGTTCTTTTGCATTTGCTGAGGAGTGTTTTATTTCCAATTATGTGGTCAATTTTAAAATAAGTGGTATGTGGTGCTGAGAAGAATGTATATTCTGTTGATTTGGGGTGAAGAGTTCTGTAGATGTCTATTAAATCTGCTTGGTCCAGAGCTGGGTTCAATTCCTGAATATCCTTATTAATTTTCTGTCTCATTCATCTAATATTGACAGTGGGGTGTTAAAGTCTCCCACTATTACTGTGTGGGAGTATAAGTGTCTTTGTAGGTCTCTAAGAACTTGCTTTATAAATCTGGGTGCTCCTGTATTGGGTGCATATATATTTAGGATAGTTAGCTCTTCTTGTTGCATTGATCCCTTTACCATTACATAATGCCCTTCTTTGTCTTTTTTGATCTTTGTTGGTTTAAAGTCTGTTTTATCAGAGCCTAGGATTGCAACCCCTGTGTTTGTTTGTTTGTTGTTTTCCATTTGCTTGGTAAATCTTCCTCCATCCTTTTATTTTGAACCTATGTGTGTCTTTGCATGTGAGATGGGTCTCCTGAATACAACACACCAATGGGTCTTGACTCCTTATCCAATTTACCAGTCTGTGTCTTTTAATTGGGGCATTTAGTCCATTTACATTTAAGTTTAATATTGTTACGTGTGAATTTGATTCTGTCATTATGATGCTACCTGGTTATTTTGCCCATTCTTTGATGCAGTTTCTTCATAGTGTAAATGGTCTTTACATTTTGGTGTTTTTTCAGTGACTGGTACCGATTTTTCCTTTCCATATTTAGTGCTTGCTTCAGGAGCTCTTGCAAGGCAGGCCTGGTGGTGAAAAAAATCCCTCAGCATTTGCTTGTCTGTACAGGATTTTATTACTCCTTCACTTATGAAGCTTAGTTTGGCTGGATACGAAATTCTGGGTTGAAAATTCTTTTCTTTAAGAATGTTGAATATTGGCCCCCACTCTCTTCTGGCTTGTATAGTTTCTGCAGAGAGATTCGCTGTTAGTCTGATGGGCTTCCCTTTGTGGGTAACCCGACCTTTCTCTCTGGCTGCCCTTAACATTTTTTCCTTCATTTCAACCTTAGTGAATCTAATGATTATGTGTCTTGTGGTTGCTCTTCTCAAGGAGTATCTTTGTGGTGTTCCCTGTATTTCCTGAATTTGAATGTTGGCCTGTCTTGCTAGGTGGGGAAGTTCCCCTGGATAATATCCTGTAGTGTGTTTTCCAACTTGGTTCCATTCTCCCTGTCACTTTCAGGTACACCAATCAAACATAGGTTTCGTCTTTTCACATAGTCCCATATTTCTTGGAAGCTTTGTTTGTTCCTTTTCATTATTTTTTCTTTAATATTGTCTTTTCACTTTATTTCATTAAGTTGATCTTCATTCTCTGATATTCTTTCTTCTGCTTGATTGATTCAGCTATTGATACTTATGTATGCTTCACAAAGTTCTCGTGCTGTGTTTCTCAGCTCCATCAGGTCATTTATGTTATTCTCTAAACTGGTTATTCTAGTTAACAGTTCCTGTAACCTTATATCAAGGTTCCTAGCTTCCTTGCATTCGGTTAGAACAAGCTCCCTTAGCTCGGAGGAGTTTGTTATTACCCACCTTCTGAAGCCTACTTCCGTCAATTCATCAAACTTATTCTCTTGCTGGCGAGGAGTTGTGATCCTTTGGAGGAGAAGAGGCATTCTGGTTTTTGGTATTTTCAGCCTTTTTGCACTCATCTTCATGGATTTATCTACCTTTGGTCTTTGATGTTGGTGACCTTCAGATGGGGTTTTTGCATAGTCATCCTTTTTGTTGATGTTGATGCTATTGCTTTCTGTTTGTTAATTTTCCTTCTAACAGTCAGGCCCCTCTGCTGCAGGTCTGCTGGAGTTTGCTGGAGATCCATTCCAGACGCTGTTTGCCTGGGTATCACCAGGGGAGGCTGCAGAACAGCAAAGATTGCTACCTGCTCCTTCCTCTGGAATCTTCGTCCCAGAGGGGCACCGGCCAGATGCCAGCCAGAGCTCTCCTGTATGAGGTGTCTGTTGGTCCCTGCTGGGAGGTGTCTCCCCATCAGGAGGCAAAGGGGTTAGGGACCCACTTAAGGAGGCAGTCTGTTCCTTAGCAGAGCTCGAGTGCCGTACTGGGAGATCTGCCGCTCTCTCCAGAGCTGACAGGCAGGAACATTTAAGTCTGCTGAAGCCGCACCCACAGACACCCCTTCCCCCAGGTGCTCTGTCCCAGGGAGATGGGAGTTTTATCGATAAGCCCCTGACCGGGGCTGCTGCCTTTCTTTCAGAGATGCCCTGCCCAGAGAGGAAGAATATAGAGAAGCAGTCTGGCTACAGTGGCTTTTCGAAGCTGCGGAGGGCTCGGCCCAGTCTGAACTTCCCAGAGGCTTTGTTTACACTGTAAGGGGAAAACCACCTACTCAAGCCTCAGTAATGGCAGACGCCCCTCCCCCCACCAAGCTCGAGCATCCCAAATCAACTTCAGACAGCTGTGTTGGCAGTGAAAATTTCAAGCCCGTAGATCTTAGCTTGTTGGGCTCTGTGGGGGTGAGATCCGCTGAGCAAGACCACTCAGCTCCCTGGCCTCAGCCCCCGTTCCAGGGAAGTGAATGGTTCTGTCTTGCTAGCATTCCAGGCACCACTGGGGTACGAAAAAAAAACTGCAGCTAGCTCAGTGTCTGCCCAAATGGCTGCCCAGTTTTGTGCTTGAAACCCAGGGCCCTGGTGGTGTAGACACCCAAGGGAATCTCCTGGTCTGCGGGTTGCAAAGACCATGGGAAAAGCATAGTATCTGGGCCAAATAGCACTGTCCCTCACGGCAGAGTCTCATGGCTTCCCTTGGCTAGGGGAGGGAGTTCCCTGAACGCTTGCACTTCCTGCGTGAGGCAACGCCTCACTCTGCTTCTGCGTTCCCTCTGTGGGCTGCATCCACTGTCTAACCAGTCCCAGTGAGATGAACCAGGTACCTCGGTTGGAAATGCAGAAATCACCCACCTTCTGCATTGGTCCCACTGGATGCTGCAGACCAGAGCTGTTCCTATTCAGCCATCTTGCCTAGGAATCCAAAGGAACTTTACTTTAAAACCCAGAAATCTTCTAAAACTAGGAAGCCTTTGGCTATTTTTTTTTCTTGCATAGTTCGCTAATACTTCTACTCCATTGATGAATGTTACTATACAAGATGAAGATACAACTTCACTATGCCCAACTTGTCCCAATCTACTGCACTTTGGGGACCTGAATGTAAGGTTTCTTACTCTGATAAACGAAGGCTACTTTCAGCATATATGGAAACTGTTAATAGTCCAGCCATCATGGACGGTTTGATAGGTTTCAGCCTCCCTCCCATGCCATAGGTTCTATATGGAGAAGAGCCATGGTCTCAATGTATTAATTATATCCAATCATATATTGAACAGCATCTATAGGCAATGACTGGGACATAGGGAACACACTCAACCAGGAAAGAGATCAATCTGTTCTATTACAGCAACTACAGAAGCTAATCAATGCTAATGAAAATTGAGTTGAAGACATTCTAGATAGTCTCTGGGAAATTAGTGTATCAACATGATCAAAAAGAATACTAGAATATTTTCAGCAGTACTATAATGTAAATTGAATACTTCTATTTACTGGGTAGAATGTTCAGTAAGCATGTCTTGCCACGTTTCCCAGGCAATGCAGGTGCTCCATGTAACTGAAACATTACATTGCAATCTGATGGGGCATCTAGGGCAGTAATGCAAAAGATATTAAATAGAACAGACCCTTTAGAGTCTCATTAGATCTAATTGGCTTTGGAGTCATACCCAGATTACAATGATGCTACCCAAACATTAAAAATCTTGTTGCATATGAAACTTTAGTTAAGCTACAAATAGAATTATACTAACACACCTAACTTCTATGAGAAATAGTCAATTCTTCCAGAGATATGAGGCTATTCTAACAATACTACAGCCAGACTTACAATAAGCCCTCAACAGGATTCCTGAGAGAATTCAGTCCTAAAAAAAAAAAAAAAAAAACCCATTATGTGTAATACATCAGCTTCTATACGTCTAAAATATACCAGATATGTTCCCTGGGAGAATTAAGAAAACAGCCACTGTCATCATTTTCTATAGAGCTTAATTCTCTTACAGAACTGCAGTTAAGCAAAAGTAGCCAGTCAACATTTGGCCGCTTTTATGAGTCAGACTGCAAAATTTATTTGTGCCCTTAAACTAGAGTTATGTTGGGAAGAAAATAACCACAAGAGCAATGCAACTTACTCTAACATGCTTTAGAAAAAGTAAAAAACAATGTATCAAAACAAATCATATTGCACACTTTGTAAGTACACGCTAGGAGATGAATTGGTACTAGTGATAGGGAGAGGAGGCAGAGAAATTCTAGGCAGAAAAGGGTGGGTTACCAACAAAACCCCACCCTCAATCCTGAAACTGCAACCCAAAGTGAGAACTTGTATTCCTGTTTCCCAACTTGAATGTTGCCTTTTCCAAAACAACCCATGGTCCACCCCATCCCCCATCTGCACCCATAAAAACCCCAGGCTCAGCTGGCAGAGGGAGAAGCATCTGGACTTTGGAGAGAAGCAGCTTGACTTCAGAGGGATGGCCTGATGGTGTAACTTCAGAGAAGAATCTTGCCAGAGATGGCCGGACTTCAGGGGCAGATTACCTTCCCACTCCATCCCCTCTTCAGCTCCCCTTCCCACCGAGATCCACCTCCATCGGCAATAAAATCCCCTGCATTTACCATCCTTCAACTCACTCATGCGCCCTCATTTCTCCTGGGCACTGGAGAAGAGCTTGAGATCCACGAATGCAGATGCAAAAGGCTGTCACACTTGCCCTTTGCCCTCGCTGGCAGAAGGCAGCCTCTTCATGTGAGAAGGCAGAGGGCCCTCTGAGCTCTTGACACTGAAGCCATCCATGGATGGTAGAGCTAAAAGAGTACTGTAACACTCCCTCTGGGGCTTGAGGGGTTGCGGACACCCCCCACCCTGATACACTGCCATGGGGCCAGCACAGAGTTGGCTCCTACAGATGCTGAAAAGCACTTGCCCTGGCTCCTGCGCCTGCTCACCTGCATGACTCCTCCTGCTAGGGGTGGAATGCAGCAGGTCTAAGTGAGTGGCGTTTGCTCCTGCTGGCACCAGGTGCTTGGAGTAGCCAGCTGTTTCCAATGCTTGTGTACTGCAGTTCCCACCTCGTTCACTTGCGTGCTTCCTCCCACGAGGAATTGAGAGCTGTGGGCTGAGTAAACAGAGCAACCCCTTAACAAGTCCCACAAAGGTGTCAGGGAAATATCGTGGCTCACTAGGTGTAAACATTATCGATCAAAACTGCTCCTTCATTTAGTACCGCATTATGGTATTATTTATATATTTCGGCCATTTAAAAGAAAAAAAAACTGTTAAGGAACTTACAACATCCACGTGTGGTGTGCAGAAGTATTCTGTTCAATAAGAAGTGAAACCATTGAGCCAATTTAATTAAATATTTATCTACCTTGCTCTACTTCAGCTTCTTCAGCCTTAACCCTGTACACGTTACTCATACACAGTAGGTTTGGTAAATAGGCTCAGCTTGGAAATCTTAGAATAGTATTAGTTATAAGTTCCATAAAAATATCTGGATTGGCCAGGTGCACTGGTTCATGCCTGTAATCCCAGCACTTTGAGAAGCTGAAGCAGGAGGATCATTTGAGCTCAGGAGTTTGAGACCAGCTTGGGCTACATAACTAGACCTCATCTCTACTAAAAGTTTTAAAAATTAGCTGGGCATGGCGGCACATACCTATAGTCCTGGCTACTCATAAGGCTGAGGCAGAAAAGATAGCTTGAGCCCAGGAGATTAAGGCTTCAGTGGGCTGTGATCGTACCACTGCACTGCAGCCTGGGTGACAGAGCAAGACCTTGTCTCAAAACAATTTTTTTGAATCTCAACTTATTCTAAAGAACTAGAAGTGTCATACGGGATCCCTTCTCTGTCAGTAGGAAAAGGCTGTGCAATCTAACACTGGGACAAGGAATTACATGCATTAAATAAATTACACTAATAAACACTACAATATTCACAAAAATATCATAATTTAGGGGGTATTTTCAACAGAGGAAAGTGAAATATAACTAGAGGGCCAAGATATCATCTCTGCTAATCTCTGAAACCAAAAGTCTGAAGTTAATTGGGCACAACTTCTGGTTGTAGATCTTTGATGGAAATGAACTGAAATTGAACCACCTTATAAAAACTGAATACTAGATGAAAAGGCCGTTAGAAATAAAATTAAATAAACTTGAAAACAAGAAGAATATAATGCCCCAATAAATAACCAGTTTAGTACTTGTAAAGAATGGTCTTCTAGCTGCTTCAGTAGAAGTGTCCATCTTGAAAGTTTGTGCCCTTGTTATTGATGGGCCAGGTGTCATTATTTTGCCTATTTTAGGCCATTGTTAAATTAGACAGACACAAATTCCCTTCACCCATTTTACTTTGGATAATGACCAAACATAAAATAAAATGATGCCTCAAAGAATATTGCATCCATTCTTTCCCAATCAACAGAAAAGTCGAGGGTGGAACGTGGTAGGACAAATCCTTCATTTGCAGGCTGGAGGGACTCGACCATTTGAAAGGTGACAAAACTGCCTTCATCTCGGAAAATATGGACCAATGTTCCATGAGAATGGTACCAACAAGGCCTGGACCATTTAATCACCAAAAGATAATTTGAATGACATATAAAAGAGTTGGAAACAAACATGTGAGATCTCTCTATGTCATGAAAGATCACTCATGCCTTCTCCTTTGTAATATTTATGTTAAAAAGCAGAGGAAGCTTATATCTGAGTGTGCCAGATGAGAAAAAATAAATTTGATTTAATGTCGTCATTATCAGCACCATCTGTCATCTCAGTAGTAAAGGAAGAAGTTAAGTTACTTCATTCAGGCAGAGAAGTAACCACGCCACAATTATGGGGCATGTCCAAGAATGCATTTGGTTTGAGTAACAGTTCCAAGGCTAGGGTCAGAGATGAAGGCATAAAAAAAGAGAAAAACAGACACCAGCAAATAACTCAGAATGCTGGGGTCATATATGATTAACAATAAATGTTCCATGCTTTGGGAGGCCAAGGCAAGCAGATCACCTGAGGTCAGGAGTTCGAGACCAGCCTGGCCAACATGGTGAAATCCCATTACTACTAAAAATACAAAAATTAGCCGAGGGTGGTGGTGCATGCCTGTAATCCCAGCTACCCGGGAGGCTGAGACAGGAGAATTGCTTGAACCTGGGAGGTGGAGGTTACAGTGAGATGAGATCATGCCACTGCACTCCAGCATGGAGACAGAGAAAGACTCTGTCTCAAAAAAAAAAAAAAAAAAAAAAAAAATACAGTAACTCTTCCCTTGAGTTAATAAATGTATGTGTTGCCTATTTTTGTAAAATACATTACTATACACTTAGTGGCTTAAAATAACATGCATTGATTATCTCACTGTTTCTGTGTGTCAGGAGTTCAAGCAGGGTTTAGTGGGGCCCTCAGCTCAGGGGTTCTCAAACCTGTAACCAGCAGACTACATTTTTATCTTGAGGCTTGACTGGTGACGAATCCACCCCCATGCTCACTCAGATTGTTGGCAGAATTTAATTTCTTGCTGTTGTAGGACTGAGGTCCCCAGCTTGTGGCTGACTATTGACTGAAGGCTGCTCACACCTTAGAGGCCGCCTGCAGTTCGTCACCACTCCTGGTTTTCCCAGCACGGCGGCTGACTTCATCAACTGAGCAATGAGTCTCTAGAGCAAATCTACTAGCAAAGTAGACTCTTATTCAGCATGATCATAGGCATGACAGCCCTCCCCTTTGCTATATTCTATTTGTAGAAGTAAGTCACAAGTGCCTCACAGGAAATTACACAAAAGCATGAGCACCAGAAGGCAGGGATTGTAGGGAGGAGCACTTTGGAATCTGTCCACTACAGTCGACTCCTAGCTGCAATGATTCGTGTCCCTTTTGCATGAAAAGTACATTCACTGTCTCCCAAGTTTCTCCAAAGTATCAACCCATTGCAACATCTGAAAGTCCAAAATTTCATTATTTTAATGAGGTGTAGCATAGACAGGGAGAGTGGAATAATAGACGGTGGAGACTTAGAAGGTGGGAGAGTGGGATGGGATGAGGGATGAAAATGGGTATGATGTACACTACTGTAGTAATGGCTACACTAAAAACCCAGACTTCACTACTACACAATACATCCATGTAACAAAACTGCACTTGTACCACCTAAATCCATAATAACAAAAAATAAACAAATTTTAAAATAAAAAATAGATGTAGATTTGGAGGAGATTCCTGGGGCGTAATTAGTTAAGTACAAATTCAAGCATACTCTTCTCAATCTGTGGCACCATGAGACTACATGAGACCAAAAAGACAAGTTTTATTCCCCCAACACACCCAACACACCCAATGGTAGAATAGGCATAAAATAAAAGCTATCAATATTTGTATTCAAAAAGAAAGAAATGGAAGGTACAAAGGAGTTACTTGTTTATGGCAATTCTCAGATCTGTTCAGAACAATGTTGGGAGTTCCTTGATGAGGTTTCAAGACCTGGGAGTAATCTTCCATGTCCCTCCCTATCTATCTGTCCTACTTTCCTTAGTTTTGGCTTTAACTTTGGGTAGGATTTCCCTTCAAGGCAGCACAGACGGACCTAAAGTTCTAAACCTTTAAGGTTCTAAATCCCTGCCCTCAAAGGAGAGAACCTGACTTTCTTTAGAGTTTCAGCCGGAATACCAGGCAGGACTTTGCCTGGAATGCTTGGATCACATGCCAATCCTTAATTTAAATACTATGGATGCTCAAGCACAGAGGCTCACTCCTGTAATCTCAATATTTTGGGAGGCCAAGGTGGGTGGATCACTTCAAGTCAGGAGTTAAAGACCAGCCTGGCCAACATGGTGAAACCCCGTCTCTACTAAAAATACAAAAGTTAGCAAGGCGTTGTGGTGGGCGCCTGTAATCCCAGCAACTCAGGAGTCTGAGGCAGTAGATTTTCTTGAACCCAGAAGGCAAAGTTGCAGGTGAGCCGAGCTCGTGCCACTGCACTCCAGCCTGGGCGACAGAGCAAGACTTTGTCTCATAAGTAAATAAATAAAATAAAATAAATACTGTGGCCAAGATCACATGTAAGACTGGTCAACCTGGGCCATGTATTTATCTCTAGAACTTAGGTTAAAACTAACTAGAGTTAGTTTTAACTTAGGGTTAAAATAACTGTCTCACTAGAACTGGACAAATTTTAAAATCCACCATCTGGCCACTAAAATGTTTAGTGATATTACACAGCAAACGTTATGGCCCTTCATTACAATGGAGAGATTTTCAGATTTGGCTCCAAGCAACCAAAATTCCATTTACATGCAACTGATGCTCTAACTTCTACTTCAGCTTCTCCATGCCAACTCCTTCACTGCCTCCTAGATAATTAGTTCTCTCATTCTGTCTTTACACATCTGCAATGAGTAAATGTAATTCCACCTGGTTCCCCAGCCCAACAAAAAAAGCAAAGACCAACTAGCATCCCCACCGGAGGAGGGGCATTCAGTACAAAGAATATAGTTGAAGGAAACAAAACTCCGGCAACCCAGGCAGTGTGAACATTAAATATCTTAAAATGAACTTTAAATATTCATGGATGCAAAAACATTGCCTGGTCATTAATATCTTTGAAGACATTAATGGGAAGTATTGAAAATGTACAAAATTTGATTTCAGAGAACCTGAGCAGACAACCCAGACAAGCTTTCTTGGCCTCTGACTAACAGAGCTGTGAGATAATACTTGGGTGTTAAGTGTCTGCGTTTGCTGTAATTTGTTACATAGCAATGGAAAGCTAACACAATCCTATGTACCTACTCCTGTAAGTGTGAGTCTTTCAAACTGGTGCTTATACTAGAAAAGATTAGATCTCACTCAGAACCCTCTCTTTAAAAAAACACAATAGGCCGAGCGCGGTGGCTCACACTTGTAGTCCCAGCACTTTGGGAGGCCGAGGCGGGTGGATCACGAGCTCAGGAGTTCAAGACCAGCCTGGCCAAGATGGTGAAACCCTGTCTCTACTAAAAACACACAAAGAAATTAGCCGGGCATGGTGGTGGGCATTTGTAATCCCAGCTACTGAGGAGGCTGAGGCAGAGAACTGCTTGATCCCGGGAGGCAGAGGTTGCAGTGGGCCGAGATAGTGCCACTGCATTCCAGCCTGGCGACAGAGCAAGACTCTGTCAAAAAAAAAATGAGAAAAAAAAAACACACACAATAAAGTGTCAACAATATTTTAGGGTAATTGATAATCTAAAAACTCTTCCTTAAAATTTTAAAATATGATTTAGAATGCAAATATATGCCAAAGGATCCAGGAGTATCTCTTAGGAACAACAGAGCACAATCCTCTTTGAGGCCATACCTTTTTTTATTAGTCTAAGTGTTGACTGTCAGAATCTTGAAATCTGGATTAATTTGGACTAAACATCCCTGGCTGCCTCCAGTTATTTTTGCTAGTAGAAGCAGTATGCACTGAACATATAAAGGTTACTTAAGGGACTGATTTCTCACTTACCAAGAATATGTAATGGCTTTTTAAAACTTTATTATTAGAAATTAGAAAGCATGTGCAGCAGGTCCTCACCTAAAATCATTTCATTCAATGTCATTTTATTATAAAGTTGATGAGAAAACAAATGGCTCCACAGCACAGCCACTGCCTGCGTGGAGTTGGCATGTTATCTCCATGTTTGCATGGGTTTTAGCCAGGTACTCTGGTTTTCTCCCACTTTCCTAAAATGTGTACATTAGGCTAATTAGTATGTGTAAATGGTCCCTGTCTGTTTGTGAGAGTGTATGTGTGCATAAATGTGCCCTGTGGTGGCATGACATCCTATCCAGGCTGGTTTCTACCTTGTCCCTGGAGCTGCCGGAATAGATTCCAGCCACCTAGAAACCCTGAACTTGAATAAGAGAGTTGGAAAACGAATGAATGGATACAAATTATTGGAAAATAAAAATTTGTCAAGTGTACAATAATCATACCAATGCAGGACAAGAGATGAGATAGGAAAGTGCTCAGCAAGTCCGCCACATTCATTATTTGTTTGTAAATTGCACGGTGGTAAGAGGTGATCCTAAAAATTTTTGCTTTTCAAACATTGATTCCTTGATTTAACCTACTACCACCATAATCACAGTCATTTACTGATTCACCAAATATTGAGTAAATAATTATCATCACATTATGTTTTTATTAATCTTTCTTAAATGTACATGTGACTGACATTTATTTCAATGTTCAACATTAAAAGTGTTTTGGGTCATTAGTGTGAAAGTTAAGCATATAAACTGAGTCATTCATGTCATAACCAACTAAAACAGAGTCAAGAAGCCAGAGGGAAGAGAGCACTCAGGGCATATAGCATTGCCCCAAGAATGTAATTCTCTGCAAGCCTGGCTGCTGAAACTGCCTGCTATAACTGGAGACCAGTTTCATCTAATATCTACAGAAACAACCTGTTAGGACCCTAAGACTAGTTCTATCCACTGCAGTCACTCACCAATCAGAACTTGCCAGCTCCCCACATTTTACTAGTGTCAATTGAACTTTCTTTCAAAATGATACAGAACATTTCTCCTTTTTGTAAAATTTCTAACCTTCTCTTTGTTCTTTGGACATGCGAAAGACTCACATTGCTATTCTTGCTTCCCCAACAAAAACGTTAAGCTTAGAGATGCATCTCTAAAAGTTTATTTTGATTTCTACATTAGTCAGAGGGTTGGTGATATTTTTGTGATCAGACACATGCCATAGGAATGTACCTTTTGTTATATCAATTATCCCACAGTAAAACTGGTTTCATTATATGTCCTTTTGCTTAGTATCACTGTTTCCAAGAATATATCAGTAACATTAAGTGAGGACTCATTGTATCTGTAGGCTTAACAACTTTTCTATTGAAGCCAGGCTTTTATTATATATGAGATATTTCTGATGATTAGCTAATTCACAAAGCTGGAAATTGCCATAACTGCATTATGAACATAAGTGACAGCCTGAATGGCTTTCTTACTTTTATACATTAAGTTTATGATAGATCTATAATCTCACAAAGGGTTAGTGGCATAAATTCCTTGTTTTGTAACACAGGAACAGAAAACCAAACACTGCATGTTCTCACTCATAAGTGGAAGTTGAACAATGAGAACACATGGACACAGGGAGGGGAACATCACACACTGGGGCCTGTTGGGGGATGGGGGGCAGGGGAGGAAGAGCATTAAGACAAATACCTAATGCATGTGGGGCTTAAAACCTAGAAAACAAGTTGGTAGGTGCAGCAAACCACGGCACATGTATACCTACATAACAAACCTACATGTTTTGCACACGTATCCTAGAACTTAAAGTAAAATAAAAAATAAATAAATAAAATAAATTCCTTGTTTTGACATTGCATTTGTCTAAAAACCAAACCCTTTGGAATCGACAGACCAAGAGTTTTCTCCACCCCCATATGCTTAGATTTCTCTTATCATTGCAGAAAATGTGGAGGAGTTTGGCAATTGGTAGTTAATATTCCAATATAAAAGAATAAAAACTGAAAGTTAATTTATAATTACTAATAGAACATTTTTAAATGAAGAAAATAAGGAGACGAAAAGGATAACAGATGAAGTTTCTCACTAGCATCCTGAGAATATAATAAATTGGTTTCAAAATATCGATTTGATAATAAACCAAATTATTCTTATCTCTCCATGTATGAGTTAATTACTATGTTGACATATAACTTCCATTTAGCAGTATCAAGTAAAATCCCTCTGGATACCCAATAATCATTTCTTCAAATAGTGTCAGTCCAGCAAAGGCAAATTATTTTTCTGACATAGGAATGGATGCCAGTATATAAACATAATAAGATTAAAAGATACAGTGACTTTCTA
The DNA here is from genome assembly GCF_000001405.40 of Homo sapiens. Taxonomy (NCBI): domain Eukaryota; kingdom Metazoa; phylum Chordata; class Mammalia; order Primates; family Hominidae; genus Homo; species Homo sapiens. Next base: position 16,990,225 of record NC_000008.11, read on the forward strand.
ATTTTCTACAAGTTTATAAAACCATTGTTTTAATCACATTTCATTCCTCAAATTACTACAAATGTCTGTCACAATAAAAATGTTAGAAATATATTCCTGTTATATCTCAAAAAAATTTTGATTGCAAAACAACGTTTATTTGGGGACATCTTTGATCAGTGTACTGTCTTTTTAAATGTGTACAATTTCCCTCATAGTTACAAGTTTTAGACACCAGAACCACTTTGCAAAAGACTTAAAATATTTCCTTAATGCTTGCTTTAGGGCATGTACTTCAAATATGGATGTCAAACATTGAACCAAAAGTAGTTTTTTACTTTTTAGTTTATAAATAAAAGTAAAAATGGGGTTATTTTGAAGATTATTTAAGTACTACTGCTAAACTATTTTTACTATTTTTTATATTCATAAAACCAAGAGGTTTTGAGCTAAAACATTTCCTTCTCTATCTCTCCCATATACACACCCGAGTGCACACCCAACTCTTCACATACACGAACATTCAAGTGTCGCTTTATTAAAGTCATATGTTGAACTCTCTCCTCTCACCATACACATCAGCATTAATTTATGTAAGTAAGAAGATGGTGAACGAATATAGAAATAAGATAGCATTAAAGCAATAGTCTTGTCATTCAAAGTGTGCTTCAAGATCTAGGAACATCAAGCATCACTGGGATGTTGTAGAAAGGCAAAATCCCAGATCATCCTCTAATAAGAATCCCCATGTGATTCATATGTACATTAAATGTTAGAAACACTGTTCCAGACTAGTGGCTCTCAAAGTGTGGTCAACATTACCTAGGAAACTAGGTGAAACTAGATGCACATTTTTAGACCCCACCCCAGAACTACACATCAGAAACTCTGGGGGTAGAGGCCAGCAATCCTTGTCTTACCCAGCTCTCCAGGTTGGTAAAGAGTGGCATCTGGTCCACTATCATTACTACATGCCCAACCATGAGGGCAGCAGCATTGACAACTGTTGGGCACTAGGAAATAAAACCTTAGAAGAACTTTTACAAATCTATCAGAATTTGTATCTGCTTAGCTTTCTAAACTCATCTGTGCCACTCTCCCCATAGCTCACTAAGCTCCAGCCACAAAGCTATTTCCTGCCTTAGGAACCCCAGACTCATTGTTTCCTCCCCCTAGAAGGTTCTCATCCTTCTCTTTACCTGGGTAGCCCCTTCTTAACCTTTAGGGCCCATCAGAAATCTAATCTCCCTAGAAAAGCTTTCTCTGAGCCATCCTACATTTATTCTTTCTTTTTTTTTCTGTCTGAACCTTGTTTTCCTCATAGAATAACTCACCACTCATAATTATGGTATTTGTTAATTTACTTGTTTACTATCTGTCTTTCCCACCAGCCATTAAGCTCCATGATGTAGGGCCCACCTCTATCTGGACCACCCCATTTTCCCCTAGTGCCTGACACTATACTATACTACTGTATAGTAGCCTTTAATGAACCTGTGCTGTGCCAGGCATGGTGGCTTATGCCTGTAATCCCAATACTTTGGGAGGCTGAGGTGGGAACATCATTTGAGGCCAGGAGTTTGAGACAAGCCTGGGCAACATAGCAAGACTCCATCTCCACAATAAAAATTTAATTAAAAAAGAAAATTAAAAAAAAATGTTTGCTGAATAAATGGCTAAATAAGAGATATAATGAAAAGAATACCCGACTCAGGTAGATGGGGACTTACCATTGTTAATGGAGGTGGTACAAAGACTTATTCTTCCTACAATCATATTGGGTGAAAGAAATGGTCTTTGCCACACTGAATTAAGAAAATAAGTAAACATAAGTTGGCTGTAATGTTCAATACTTTTCAACATTAGAAGTTCTTTAAATACTAAAGTCTTTCTCTAGGGCATTTAGAATTTTGTCATTTTTAAATGTTATATAAATAAAAGAACTGTCACCCGAAAAGCAATGAAGCCAAAACACTGCATGAAAATGTTTAATTCCCTTTTGAATGTGTGTTGAATTTAATACAAATCAATGAGGCATTTTTCTAGGCCAAAAGAAACCAACGTTACATTTAGAAGGCAATTGACTGCATAAAAAATATAATCTATACTATATTTTAAAAAGAAATTCAAAATCTGATTCTATGGTTAAGGTGGTATAATAATGTCCTCTTTACAGAGCAAGACACCACAATAAAGTAATGGCACAATAACGGAAGTTTTGTTGTTTTTTACTCTTTGTATTATCTTCATATCCCAGTAAAAAATAAACTCTTTAATAAATAAATATATATAATAAATATTTTCAAATTGAAAGTGTATAAATAGGTCCATTCTTTTAAAAAGTGTTCTGTCTTGGTGTGGCATGTTTCATAGTTCATGTTTCACCCAGGTGTTGTTTAGTTTTTTTTTTTCTTAAAACATATAATGCCATAACCTGTGAATTCTACAAGGTCCTCAGAATTTATGTAGCAATGCTCTTGGCTAAGTCAATCCATTTCTTCAACATGAAGTCTCTATTTTTAACATAAATTTTAAAGTAAACATAATCCAGAGAGGTGAGGCACCAGCAGCAACCATGTGAGGGTTCCCATTATCCACAGTTTAACAGATTTTTGGCTTCAGTCTACTGGTAAGGACTAATCCAATGTATCTAAGGGAACTTAATCCACATATAAAGAGTGATCATGATCTATTTCTAGTCAAAATTTTTTTTGGTTTTTTTTCTCAATATTCTTTCCAAATCCAGTCTCTCAGTAGAAAATAGACTTTAATATTTTGAACGTCTCCTTGGGTCATTATTTTATGATGGGAACTATGACAAGAAAGAATGGTTGTGGTTTGACTCTTCCATAATGTCACTATCGCACTTCAAGTGTACATCAGTAGGTCCTTGTACAATTCTGGAACTCTTTCTGGATCCACTGGTCTAGGTAAGAAATGTGTAAATTTCTGATGCCTCTTGGACCTGGCGCCATCTCTTGGAGTTCCGTCTTTGTTAAGTGCCACAAAATACCTGCGGCCAGTGTCTCCATGTTTATATATGTTAGATGAATAGGTGTTATACCAGTTCTCTTCAAACTGCTCCCTAAAGATGCATTCGGAAGTAAGTTTCTCCTGAAAGAGAGAAGATAACTATTATTTTTTAAAAAAATACCTTTGAGATAATTTCCTTACAAGTTTCAACTCTATATTTTCATTTCTTTGCCTTGTCAAAGAAAGAAAAAGGTTAAATTGGTTTTGCTTTATTTTGTTTTAGTTCATATGTCATCTCTGATTCTTAGTGCAGGTGACTTCATCTGGCAGTGTACTTTAAAGTTGCAGTCCCCACCTCTTTGGCACCACTGACCAGTTTCATGGAAGACAATTTTTCCACGGACCAGGATGGGGACACGGGATGGTTTCAGGGTGATCCAAGTGCATTACATTTATTGTGTACTTCATTCCCATTATTATTACATTGTAATATATAATGAAATAATTACACAACTCATCATAATATAGAATCAGTGGGAGCCCTGAGCTTGTTTTCTTGCAACTAGACTGTCCCATCTGGGGGTGAACGGATGCAGTGACACATCATCAGGCATTAGATTCTCATAAGAAGCATGCAACCCAGATCCCTCGCATGCACAGTTCACAATAGGGTTCATGCTCCTATGAGAATTTAATGCTGCCGCTGATCTCACAGGAGGCGGAGCTTAGGTGGGAATGTGAGCAATGGAGAGCAGCATGTAAATTCAGATGAAGTTTCGCTCACTTGCCTGCTGCTCACCTCCTGCTGTGCAGCCCAGTTTTTAACAGGCCACAGACCAATACCAGTCTATGGCCCAGGGGTTGGGGACCCCTGCTTTAAAGAACTTTCAGTCAAATGTCAGTTCCCAATTTTATTTTCAAATACCTAAAAAATATCCTGAATTTTCTCATGTCCCATATCATCACCCTACTCCCGCCATCACTACCAAGCAGACCTGTAGTTTATCTTTTTCCATCGTTAGAGGCCAGAGTTCTACCTATCAAGTCTCTACTCTCACCTTGGAGCATTTCAAGATCTTGCTAAGAACCAAATTCCAAATTCATGATCATCACTCCAAATCATATATCTTCTCTTTATGAATTTACTAACTGTTTGATGATACATTCTCCACGATTTTTTATCTGGATCTTTTACGATTAAGATTTATTGTCTTTTCAAAATGGACTGTATATTGTCCTAAGTGATAAACCACAGTTGCTTTTTTTAAATCCAAAATACACATGAAGATTGTGTGCATGTTTTTTCTATTGTAATTCTATTAATCTTATTGTAATTCCATACTTATGATTATTATACATTGCATTGTCTTTCTTTGTTCTGAGCTGACACGAAGCCTAGAAATAACAAGTTTTACCCTTACAAAGGACAAATATTCATCTACTTCAATATCATCACCAATTCTTCTCAGTGTATATTAAGACTCTAGCTGAATATTGTGGTTCCAGTTGAGAGTTTAAGAAAAAAAAGTTACCAGAGAGTGCCATCTGCTTAATCATACAAAGTCAATTCTTGATGGAAATAATTACAGAGACTTCAACCTCAAGAAAAGAGTTCACATAAGAAGAGGAGTGGGATACTGGCATACATTTTTATCTTACCAATTCTTATAAAAGCATTTAGGCAACTGTGAACAAATGAAAAAATGTTAACAATGAAAGAGAAAAATCCATGTTGTGCTGTAAGGTAGAGTGTGATATTGTCCTGCTATTCTAATTCTTGTGTTGCTATTGCAGATTTGTTCTAAAAACAAAAAAAAACTTAAACTGATGAAATATTGACCTGAAAAGTATAACTTAAGTGGCATATTTAAACATTTATAGTAGACCCACAGACGTGCACTTATCCCCAGGAGCAACTTAAAAATTGCCCGATACAACTTTGAATGAGCCCATGGCTACTGAAATTTTCAAGACTACAGGCATAGAAGAACAGTGTGTTTGCCATCTTCTCCTGTTACTTGCAGTATCCCACAACTTTACTCACTTATTTCTTAAATACAAAGGTCAGCAAGTAAGTGACGTATATTTAGCTGTGGAAGATGATAACAGGTAGAGAAAGTTTACCTTAAATAAACATAAAGGTGAGAGAGTCTAACATGGCAAGAAAAAAATATTCTCCCTTTTATCTCTGTCTCTGGATGGAATGATTAAAATACAGAGAAAACTAGAAAGACTCAAGGTAATGTATAGGAAGAACTAATGAGCTGAAGGTAATAATGGTTGGGGGTTTTAAAAATATAATTGAGTTACTATACTATTGCCCAGACACATGGAAATTTAGCAGGATAGATTTCAATTTCTACGTAAGTATGTTTTATATACTTCTACCAGACATTCTTGGTAGACATTTTAATTACATAATAGATAGTCAATATTTTAAGAATTACAATAATAATAAAAAATAAAAATAATACGTACTGATCCATAGAGTTCTCCTTTGTCATTCATTCCAAGATAGAGACCACTGTCCACACCTCTAATACTGACCAGTCCCACTGCCACACTGATGAATTCCAAGATACCTGCATATGTAAACAATTCATAAAAACACCATGTTTTGTATTTATGCATGAGCATATGACTAACAAAAATCTTCCAAATAGTAGCGGTAGTCGGCCATTATTGCCAAATATAATGATGTACGTGTAAAAGTCCTTTGTACACTGGAAACAGCTATGCAATTGTTTTATGACAGATGAAAAAAGGACAAAAAAGGAAAAAATTGTTCACCATGGTGAGACAATCAAGTATAAAGGGGTTCCCAGAGAACCTCTGACCGGCCTGCGTGCTGGGACAACAGGATGGAGCCTTGGGAAGTTGACACCCTTTGCAGCGGGGAGGAGCCTGGCCTCTCCTGTAATGGGGTGGTAGCCTGGGATTCAATCTGTGAGATGGGGGCCTGTTAACAGGAACCTCGAACCTCTCTTGCTTTGCTTAGTTGTTTTTTTTTCCTTTTTGGCCAATAAATTCCATTTTTCTCACCCTTCTATGTGTCCATGAGCCTAGTCTTTCCTGGTCATGTGACAAGGACCTCTGCTTTTAACTGAACTAAGGAGAAAGTACTACGACAATGGTATAATGTGAAAGGTGTGAAACCTTACACCAGACTGAGCTGGGTCTGAATTCCAGTTCAGGAACTTACTAACCAGGTTGAGCAGGCAAGTCATTTGTCTTCTTTGAACTTTAACCTCCTCATATGCAAAATGGATGAAATGCCTCCCTAAAGGAGATGGGTGAGGACTAACACATTTAGGCATTCAACAAACGGAAGCTATTATTATCATAAATTAGTATATAACAGAGGTATTCTCAGTTTTCCATGATCTCATCAGTTAATTATAACCATTTTCTATTCATTGTTTTGTTTTTATCTACGATAAATCAAGTCAATCTGTTTCTAGGAGCAGCAGCATCCCTTATTGGGTATAACAGTGTTTTATAGTCAATAAAGGGCATTTGTTTGTATTTTCTTATCTGGCCCTAAAAAACAAGCCCTTAAAATAAATAGGGAAGATATTATTATCCCCATTTTACATATAAAGAAATGGAGGCTCAGAAAGGCTTATTGACTTGCCTAAGGGACATGATATTTATAAATGGTAGAACTGACATTTAAACTTACATTCTTAGCCCTAATCCACTGTTTCTACTTCAGGACACTGTTTCTTGAGGACAATACAGTAGTTTCAAGACTTTTTGGATTATATAACATGCTATGTTTCCTGCTGTGTAATTTTTAAAATTAAATTGTATAGTTCAGAGAAGAAAAAGGACTTTATAATTCATTAAATATGATAGCCAAATATAATGAATTAGCATGCAAGTAGATTTACTATCAATAACTTTCTAGAATTATTTCCATTTATCAGTAAACTGGGATCAAAAACTCTTCCCTAAATACACTGATAAACCACAGTTTAAAAAAGAAAAACTTAACACCTCCCTCTGGATCACCCTTTTTTTTCTGCACACACTAAACTTTGGACTAATGCCTTTGTCTCATTCTTCCCTCTTCAACTCTGCTGAAAAAGCATAGCTGTATTTTCTATGCTTGGCACTGCCTTCCTCAATAGCATTCTACCTTCACCCCTTCACCCCATCCTGAGCTCTACAAACAGTATAAATGTGTACCCTTTAGCCTGACTCTTGCTCTTAAGTCATTTCTTGATTTATTGTACAAGTTCCTGTTTGGACACGTGATACTCCCAAGGCCAAGGGAAAGTACAGAATCTGACTATTTGCTGATATGCTGGGCTCTATTCTATCCAAAGCCTAATTCACTCTTTGTCAGAAACAGAGATTCTTAGCAAGACAAATGAGCTCTTTCAAACTATTAGGAGATCATGTAGAACACTAGAGCTATCAAGGATCTTACAGCAACAATACACTGCTAAATAGTCTATAAGTGGCTTGAAAGAGCCAGGATCCCTCATTGAAAGCCTAAGGCAGAGAGAAGATAAGATACAGCAAGAAGGCTTAGGACAGCCATCATAATGACAAATACAGAGGTGGGGAGTGAAGGAAAATCAAACTCACTGCCAAGTTCATTAGCAAAAGAGTCCTGCCGGAAACAAAAACATAGGCCCAAAACATAATTGGTAGAAAATATATATATTAATGTAACTTCATTCAGGCTATAATTACAAATGTATAATTACTTTGTATTGAATGTTACATTCAAATTAAAAAGTGTTCTGTGGTTGAAATGCAACTTAATTCCCTTTAAGTATCTGATTTACATTAAGATTCTCTTGTCTTTCAAAGAACAGGAACTGATTAAGTGATTAGAATGTAGAATAGAGCAAGTTTTCAATTACAATAAAATATGGCTTTAATGTCCATATAAGCTAATTATATAACAAATCTCATAAAGTGTTTATTTTTCTTGGAAAACTCAGAGGTAAACCACCTACACTTTAATTCTTATCTTAATGCTGTCAGCTTGCCGAAAAAATATGTAGCTGTAGAAAGACAAAAGGTTATTTATGTTCTTAGAATAATTATATGCAATAGTTTTAACTTTAGTAAACAACACCCAAAACCTTATACATAACCAGGTATAAATAATTTTGCAATGGCTCATGGGACTGATATGTGTTTTGTGTGTGTGTTCCTCTTAAAGATTTTAGTCACACTTTTAAATTCTGATCCTTTTTCTCCTTGAGGAAATAGTATACCACGTAGTAATTTGTAATCATTTGATTCTTAAATGAGATTTGACAAGTCTTTCTTATTTATAATATGAGGTAGCAACTAAGCTAATTCCTTTACAAAGAGTAGACATGAAAAACTTTCCTTAAGAGGTAATCACAGATTTTAGATAGATTTTCTAATGCCCAGTGTCCCATAAAAAGACTTGGAGGTACTTTGCCTTTCTGGTATCACCTTCAAAGCCAGTCTTTTTAATAATCATAATAAACAGGTGAGTCAACCCACAATGCAACCACATCAGACAAATCTATGGAGAATAGGGGAGAATAAAGGAAAAGCCTTTAAAGAAATATGTTTGATCTCAGGCTAAACTTTTTTTTTTTCAGAAATGATTCCATGTTTACATATTAGGTAAGCTGTTCCTGCTGTGTACTACTGTGTAGGAAAACTCCATCATAAATACAGAGATAACTCATGGCCAAATTAGTATAAAACTGGCAAAAAAAAAAAAGTTATTTCCTTTAACATCTCAAATAGCCATCCTTAAGTTTTCAAAACTGTCACTCTGATAGCAAAGATAGGAGTTTAAAAAACATAATAATTTAATAATTAGTAACTGAAGTACTAGCAAAAGAAGCCAAACATACAGAAGCACATAATGTTATATAGCTTGAACATAAACTTTCTTCTTACCCGCACTCTCTTAAAGTAAGTTATGATGTCTATGATATTGAAGGCCGCTAGGATGTACTACAATACATCACAAGGCGGCCATTCACTCCCAGACTAATCTGGGTTATCTTCCTTTTGTTTAACAGTATTTTGTTCCTATACATAGTCTCCCACCATAGAGTGACTTACATTGGCACAAATTCAATCTGTCAATTTTTTTGCAGCTACTAAATAATTAACACAAATTTCGCAAAAACAAAATGTGCGAGCAAGATGATAATTCTGATATTCAACTTCCATTCCTAAAGAAATGCCGTTAAATGCCATTAATGAATGTTATCAAGTCTACAAATATTTACTAATCTCTCCCCATAGGGTCAGTCTTATAAACATACACAAAGTAAAAGAGGCCTTTTTTTTTCTGTCACTGGAGAGATTACAGTTTAATTACAAGTTTCCTTTTTTTTTTTTTTTTTTTTTTGAGACAGAGTCTTGGTCTGTCGCCAAGGCTGGAGTGCAGTGGTGTGATCTTGGCTCACTGCAACCTGCGCCTCCCGGGTTCAAGCAATTCTCTGCCTCAGCCTCCCAAATAGCTGGGATTACAGGTGCCCACCAACACGCCCAGCTAATTTTTTTTTTTTTTTTGTATTTTTTGTATTTTTAGTAGAGAGGGGTTTCACTATCTTGGCCAGGCTGGTCTTGAACTCCTGACCTCATGATCCACCCGCCTCGGCCTCCCAAAGCGCTGGGATTACAGGCGTGAGCCACTGCGCCCAGCCCCAAGTTTCTTAAAAGTAGAATTTCCAAGGCTACACTGTGTATGGCAGGGTGAAATTCTGACTATTACCTAAGCTTAACTTCTGCCTGCTCTCCCTATAAGTATTATCACATTTGTGTTTATTTCTAAATCTTTCTGGTAGTTGGAATATTTTTCTGTAATGAGCGCAGTGAAGTCATCCTTAAAGGCAAGAGAACTGAGCCACCTGGTGTCAGCAAAGTTCTTCAGAATCGAAGTCTCAGGGCCATGCACAGTGGCTCATGCCTGTAATCCCAGTACTTTGGGAGGCCAAGGCGGAAAGATTGCCGGAGGCCAGAAGTTAGAAAATCTCAAGCCTCCTCAATTTAAAAACCACTTTCTAAAAGTGACCCCAGGTTGGCCACTAGGTCATGACAGTCTTGACTGATAGTCAATGGGAATTTGGAAGAGATCAGTGGAAGCTGCAAACATGTGGGTTTTAAAAAGTTAATTTTCTAAGCCTTTAAGTGCTACCAAATGACCACCACATGCTTATTTCTACATCTAGAGTTACAAATGCCCCCTTAAACTGAGATTTACACTTCTCCAAAGTTTTAATGAGTCCTACAAGTCAAAAAGGGAATAATTATAAGAACAAGGGGGTAAGGACACGATAAGAGAGGGCCATTCAGAGATGGGGTGCATTCTCAAAGAACTCCGTAGCGCTACGGATTGTGGGTGACAAATTAATGGTATCTTTTTTAAAAATAAAATGAATTTTTCCAATGATGTCAAAAGTTTGATAATCAAAATCCTTTGACATTGCTAGCAGGTTAACTAATAGAATGGAAACTTCAGCTATGGGGAAAGATCCTGGGATATTAGAACCGGAGAGCACCCCATCTTTGTACAGAAAACTAAGCCTCAGACTGATGAAGGCACTTTCTAGTTACACAGCTAGTGAGGAAGTCATTAACAGGAGAGACCCTCCCGATCTAGTATCTTAACAGACACTGCCTTAACAATCATTCTCTTGTTTCTTTTAACCCCTTCTCTTCCCAGGCACTGCCGGAGGTATTCTGAAACACGTCCGTCTGTGTTCCCACCCATATCTTCTTTCGCTTTCCCATTTCCTCTTTCCTAAAGTCGATACCAAGATACTTGCTTTCAGGTTGCACAATTTCCAAAGAGGAGCTTGGCTGAAGAACTAGGCATGCTCAGTAGCCGGGTGGTCTTCCTCCTCCCCCACCCCTCCCCCCCTTTCCTTTTCTTTTCTCACCCACATAGAACTTAGGAGCTGAGGGAACCTCAGACAGGTGAGCCCTACAGGTAGCGAATGTGCCCACGGAAAGTTAATCTGCTACCTCTTCAGGTGAACATTTGCAAGTCTCTAGGTAGACACGTAAATGCTCGCAATCCATGCCCAGAGCAGCCCCGGGTGCATAATCAGCTGCATAACTGTGGGGCATGTTTAAAGAAGCCCGGCGCTTCCTGTTATTAATTTTTGTAAAGTGGACGGCATGGGGGAAAATGAGAAAGGAAATCGGAGAGAAACATACAGGGATTTTTTTTAAAACTGACTGCGAGGTAAGCAGTGCGAGAACCGTGATGCCGAGTGCACCAGGTCTTGGTGTCCCCGGCAGTGGGAAGGGCAAGGGGAAGGCAGGAAGGAGCTTGCGAAGCGCCCACCCTTTCTCCTCCCGCCCCCAGCATCTGGAGCTGCTGCCCTGCTAGAGGCTGCGGCGACAAACCAGCAGGAAAATTTCTCCCCGCGGCTGCTCTGGCCAGCCCTTCAGCCCCAGCCTGCGTCTTGCACCGGATGGGTCCAGGGGAGCTCCGGGCTCCGCGCGGCGATGACGCCCTTGGCAGGCAAAGAGGGAGGTGCAAGGGGAGGGAACGAGGAGCCGAGCTGGGGCGCAGATGGGGGTGGGGTCGGGATGCTAGTACGTACCGAAGAGGCTGTGGTCCTGCCGGGTGCCCTGCACGCTGCCGTCGGGCAGGATCTGCAGGTGGAAGCCGGTGCGGCAATAGAGCTGCCGGCGGCGCAGGATGCCGTGCAGGTGCGCCAGCTGCGCAGCCCCCGGCCCGCCGCGCGCGCTCCGCTCCGCCGCGCTCCTGCGCTCGCCCAGCAGCGGCGGCCGCTCCCCGGCAGGAGGCAACAGGAAATGCGAACCCACCTGCTGGCCCAAGCCCTCCAGGCCGCCCAGAAAGCCCCCGACTTCGGCTAAGGGAGCCATGGAGGGGGAGATCCGGAACACAAAAGACCCCCCCAGTAAAGAGTGTTGTGGGGGTGGGATGGAGGTGGATAGAGAAAAATTATAGCAAAACGAGCGCAAAAAGTTAAGGCCCGGTTACTCCTCTGAGGTCGCTCCGGAGGGACTTTGCACTGAAATGGCAGGGAAGCTCTCACTGTCTTGGAGCGATCTTCTCTCCTTGGGTAGGTGGGAGCCGGCTGCTGGCTCTGCAGAAATATCTATAGCTGCCGCTGCCAATACTAGGACTAGGGCTGTTGGCTGGGGCTCCAATTCCGCAAACTGATCAGATCAGAGTCCTGTGTACATACACACCGAGTATATAAGCGGGTCCTCTTGACATATGCTAATCAAGTCCTTTCATGCGCGCTGGGGAGGTTCTGTTTGAAATCTTAAACCGGTCTCCTCTCAACACGTTTTTGCTCTTCGGAAGTGACCAAAAGGGGCCCTTGGCACTTCTCCATCCATGCCCTCACAAAAACCATTCCTGCACTTGGCCAAAGCCAGCCAGCAACTTCGAGGAGGTGCAGTCGAGGCCCCTCTTTGGGGTTGTCCTTGGGACAGCGGTGATGCTGTTCAGCTGCGGCCGTGCAACCGTCTTTGATGTGAGCTTTGCAGTGATAAATCGCCTCTAAAAGGAGCCCAACTTGGCAGGGATATAGAAGAAGAGGAAGGGAGGAGGGAGGGAAGGCGGGGAGGGAGAGAAAGAGAAGGAGGGCATTGGTAGGAGGAGGAAAGAGAAAAGGAGAATTGGACTCCTTGGGAGCCTGCAGTGGACAGGTGCAAAGAAAGGTAAGCAAGGGAGAAGGAAAAAGGGCGTTACCTGGGGCTTACAGACCTGCCCAGACACACATGAAAGAAAAATCAAAGCTTTGACAGTTTAACTCACTAATTTTAAAACACTAATAAAATGTACAAGCATTGCTCCTTTCTTTTATCATTTAGATGGGGGATTTTCTTTACATAATCAAGGTTAGGTAAGGAACACCCTCCCTCCCCCTCTTTACAATTTCTCTTTAATGTTTACCTTTACTCAGCACATAATATAACCAAAATTGCCATATATATATATACATAATACACATATGTATTTTTAATTGTGTGCTAAGGTCATGAACTTCTAATTAGTGTAAAATAAAGCAAAATATAATCACGAATCAAAGGATTTACAGTAAATCCAAATAGGCTGGAAAGAAATGATTTGCATCTCTATATTTTGCCGTGAATAGAAAATGAATATCTGGAATATTGTCATAAATGATGAGTGGCTTCTTGGGCCCTTATACAATCTAAGAGCACTTTCCTGTTTTTCTTAGTTGCGTTTTTCTAAAAGCTAGATGTTTTTGTTTACATTTTAATTATAAAATCTAAAAATAACTAAATGGAAATAGTCTTGAGGCTTGATGTGTTTTGAGACTTCAAAAGTTACTGGTAAAATTGAAGAGTGCTTGAGCATATTTGTAAAATCAAAAACCATGGAAGCCAAGGAATTAGATACATGTTCATTTAAACGTTGAAACTGGTTTTGCACCACTAGTTAAATTCAAGATCTTTCTGTTAAAATTTTTCAGTGGTAGAAGAATTGAGAATCATTGGGCAGATTTATGCTTCCTCTGAGCAAAAAGTTTTAGGGAACTGATGAAGATTACTTTCTCAGTCTTGTTTCATGATCTGTTTAAAAAAAGCATAAGCCTGGCAGCTCAGTTGGATTTGACTGGTTTATTTTATTTGCTCTGAAGGATTTTTTCTAATTAATTGGCAGGTGCTCTAAAGTGGGTATAGTTACACATTTTCATCACTACAGGCCTAACTACTGACCCTTGTGTAACCAAGTTATAAAAGAGTTCTTAAAGCAAGTGATTTACTGTTGATAGATATGAAATAAAACAAAAACGCTGGCTAAAAACAATAAACAGATAAATCACTTTAGAAACGTATATTGCTAAGTCTGTTTTAAAGGTTGCACCAGGTAAATGTTGTATTATTTCACCTTTCAAATAACAGCAGTCTGTCTTGTGGTAGGACCCCAAATCCACCATAATCAAGGTTTCAAACACATCTGTGTAAACATTATCACATCAGTGTAAAACATCAACCAATGAGCTTTTACTTTGAACCAAATCTTCTTAATTGCAGTGTTAAATCAAAGAAACTTAGATCAAAGTTGTGTGAATCTCGTAGCAGGATAACTGAAGTAGCCAGTACATCCACTGATCACTTTTAAAGAGGAGATACTTAAGGGTTTTAAACTTAGATCAAGTGCCTTTTAATGAGGTTTGTTTCAAGGTCCAAGTTCTGTGCAACATATAATGCTGTTAATTATTCCACAATGGAAATATATTATCATCACCTGCTTCTAAAAGTACTAGTTCAGTCTACAAACTATTTTCCCACATGAACACTTTAGTCCTGCTGTATGAGCTATAGCTGTTAGACTGTTCAAATCTGTTGTATTGCTTATATATATACAAAAAATGGGGAATTTCTTATTCATAGTCATGAAAGTTTAAATACTTTCATAATAGAATCGCCTTCTCTTTGTACACCTTGGTATTTACATGTGTATTACCTTATTTGATCACCACAATGACCATAAGACATAGGCACATCCTGCTTTATAGCGAAAAAATATGGTCCTAAATCCCCGTTTTGCCCAGAGTCCAACATCCCAGGCCAATTTCCTTAAATTCTCTAAATGCTTTTATTTTCTCTTTTGTAAAATAAGGATAATATAACTCCAGCCTAACTACTATGCCTAGAGTTGCCATGAGACTTAAATGTAAAAATATATTGGAAAATGGTTTTAAAACTATAGTTTTCTATGCATAGAATATGCTAGAAAACTCTAGTTGTTGTGAAAATTTTTGCTTTCTAACTTAACAAATATAATTGGTCTGAAATACAAAATAAATCTTTTTTTCCCAAACCAAACCTTTAATGTGTAAGTTTGAATGGTGCTTAATGCTGTTTTATAAAGGACCAGACTAGAAACAAAAAGATAAGAATTTCTTTTGTTTGCACTAGTCATGTGACAGGAAAAGATAACACTAAAGATTTTTTTTTTTTGCACATGCTGTGATGATATCATGGGAAGTTAAATAATTTTGAAGAGTGTTTTACAAGAGTGCATTATTCAACTTTTAAGTATACATTGCAATCTAATCAACTTTACCTATGCTTCCTAGAGACCACACTTGCCTTGCTGTTATACAAATACGTGGTACAACTTCTACTTCCACAAAATGTAGTTTGAGTTTTCCAGACTATATAATCCCTATATAGGTTTTCAGATGATATATTGTCAGGAACCTTTGTTTTTACACATGAGGAGTTCATACCTTTTGAGGCTGCTACATGTGTTCAATATGAGAAAAAGAAATAGAGCTGATTTAATGGTCATGATATACATCTCCAATAAAGTAAGAGTATATTTGCACATTATTCATTATTTATAATTACAAAATATTAGCAACAACATAAATTTCTATACACAGGAAACTGAATAAATTATGGTACATTCACACAATGGAGCATTATACAGCTGACAAAGATGTCTGTGAACGAACATGGAATATTTGCAGGATACACCGTTAAGTGAAAACAGCAAAGAATATATATAGTGTCTGCCTTTTCTGTAAGAAAGAAAAAAATGAGAAACGTCTACATGTATATGCTTATTTATTCTAAAAATAAACACAGAATGGATAAACCAAAAATTAATGAACTTGGTTACCTGGTTAGTTGGTTAGCAGGGGATGGATATGAATGGAGTGGAAGGGTTGGAGGAGTGACATTCATCTGAGAACTTTTTATAGAGTTTTGACTTTTGGAGAAATGTTAATGTTTTACATTTTTTTAAAGTAAAATAAAATAAAATAAATGAGAGAGAAGTGGGGATGGAATAAAAGCAGGAACAAATGAACCTAACTGTATTAAAGTGAGTAATATAACCACACATGAGGGATGAATAACATATTAAAAAAAAGAAAGAAAGAAACTCAAATAACTATCAAATTCTGTCTTTTGATGATATAACCAAGATCTAAAGAAAAACCACATAAACAAATCTTGAACTTCAATGAGAAAGATTGTTTTCCTCAGTAGCAGGGGTTAGAGTAGTGTATTGTAGAATTGAACAAATGAATAAATATATTGAAGCTAATGAGAGCTAGGGGTTTCATTATTAAAGAATAGAGTTCTAATATGAAAAGAAGGAAGACTGGAATGAACCTTGTAGTGTGAAATTGGAATTGCCGCTATCAGTATTAACACTTGGTGCCTGTGTGTGTGTGTATGTTCATGTGTATGTGCATATCTTAGCCCTGTGCACTAAAAGGGCCTAGAAGCAAACATATCCCAAGTCAATGAGCATATCTAGCATCTAAGCCTTGGTTTCTCAATTCAAACTCCTACTAAAATGATCAATGGAACCTTGGAGAAATGTCTGGTTCCAGGACTGGGGCATTATTTTGTGTGCCAGAAGGCAAGGAAGTACTAAAAAAAAAAAAAAAAAAAAAAAGAATAAGGACATGTCCAGGGGACATAAGCCAAATCTGGGACAATTTGAGCATCAAAATAAATAATGATAGGAACAAGTTATTTATGAAATAAATAAGAACATGTGAGTGCAACTGTTGAAGTACACAAACTACCAATCAAACAAGTTAATAAGGGAGAAGGGAAAACTTTTTCTCATGGCAGAATACCAACTAATAAATATTGAAAGAATGATGGAATTAGAAAAATGACCACTTTACATCCATCCTAGGGTCATTGCTGGTCCAGACAAAAACATAAATGCATCCTAAAACTTGTGGATAAAAGTTTGATGAAGAAGAATCTTTATTACAAAGGGAAAAGAGTAACTTAATAGTGAATTAATCTAGTGAGTACAGTACTATCTTAACCACATAATAAAAGTGAATAACAGTAATGGGACAAGCCAACCCCATATGCCTCTTCGTACTCTACAAAGAATACAATGTCACTTACGTGTTGTTCCTACCAAAAATGCATAATCTGAATCTAATCATGAAGAAACATCAGATAAACCCCAATTGAGGGACATTCTACAACTGGCTGTGCTCTTCCAAAATGTCAAAATCAAAAAAGACGAAGGTTGAAGAACTGTTCCAGTTTAAAAATGACTAAAGGCCAGGGACGGTGGCTCATGGCTGTAATCCCAACACTTTCGGAGACTGAGGCGGGCAGATCACTTGAGCCCAGGAGTTCGAGACCAGCCTGGCCAACATGGTGAAACCCTGTCTCTACTAAAAATACAAAAATTAGGCAGACATGATGGTGCATGCCTGTAATCTTAGCTACTCAGGAGGCTGAGGCAGGAGAATCGCTTGAATCTGGGAAGCCAAGGTTTCAGTGAGCCAAGATCCAGCTGCTGTTCTCCAGCCTGGGTGACAGAGCGAGACTCTGTTTCAAATAATAGAAAATAAAAAAGCAAGTAAAGTGACATGAAAACTAAATGTGATAGATGATGTTGGTATGGAGCCTGAACCAAAAAATAACAATACTAATGATAGAGAATATTATTGAAACAACTGGCAACATTTGAATATGGAGTGTGAGTTTGAAAATAGTACTAATAAATGGCGCTACAATAATTGGCTAACCATATGCAGAAGGTTAAAGCTGGACTCCTTCCTTACACCGTATACAAAAATCAATTCAAGATGGATCAAAAACTTAAATGTAAAACCTGAAACTATAAAAACCCTGGAGATAACGTAGGAGATACCATTCTAGACATAGGACCTGACAAAGATTCCATGATGAAGATGCCAAAAGCAATTGCAACAGAAACAAAAACTGACAAATGGGACCTAATTAAGGAGCTTCTGCAGAGCAAAAGAAACTAACAACAGAGTGAACAGACAACCTGTAGAACAAGATAAACACTTGCAAACTATCCATCCACAAAGGTCTAATATGCAGACTCTATAAGGAACTTAAATTAACAAGCAAAAAACAAAAACCCCATGAAAAAGTGAGAAAAATGATGGGCACGGTGGCTTATGCCTGTAATGCCAGCACTTTGGGAGGCCGAGGTGGGCAGATCACGAGGTCAAGAGATCGAGACCATCCTGCCCAAGATGGTGAAACCTCGTCTCTACTAAAAATAGAAAAATTAGCTGGGCATGGTGGCGTGCACCTGTAATCCCAGCTACTCAGGAGGCTGAGGCAGGAGAATCACTTGAACCCAGGAGGTGGAAGTTACAGTGAGTCAAGATCGCACTACCGCACTCCAGCCTGGGTGAGAGAGAGAGGCTCCATCTCAAAAAAAAAAAAAATTGAGCAAAAGATATGAACACTTTTCAAAAGAAGACATTCATGTGGTCAATAAACATATGAAAAAATATGCAGCATCAGTAATCATTAGAGAAATGCAAATCAAAACCACAATGAGATACCACATCATACCAGTCACAATGGCTGTTATTAAAAGGTAAAAAAATAACAGATGCTGGCAAGGTTGTGGAGGAAAGGGAACACTTATACATTGCTGGTGAGAATGTAAATTAGTTCAGCCATTGTGGAAAGCAGTGTGGCAATTTCTCAAAAACCTTAAAACAGAACTGCCATTAGACCCAGCAATCCCATTATTGGTCATATAGCCAAAGGAATATAAATATTTCTAAAATAAAGACACATTCATATGTATGTTCACTGTAGCACTATTCACAATAGCAAAGTAATGGAATCAACCTAAATGCCCGTCAATGATAGACTGAATAAAGAAAATATGGTATATATACACAATGGAATACTATGCAGCCATAAAACAGAATCAGATCATGTCCTCTGCAGCAACATTGATGGAGCAGAAGGCCATAATCCTAAACTAATGCAGGAACGGTAAACCAAATATTGAATGCAGGAACCAAATACTAATTCAGGAACAGTAAACCAAATACTGAAAGCAAATACTCAGCTTTTTACTGAGTACACACGGACATAAAGAAGGGAAGAGCAGACACAGGCACCTACTTGAGGGTGGAGATGGGGAGGAAGGAGAGGATCAAAAATCTACCTATCACGTACTATGCTTATTACCTGGGTGATGAAATAATCTGCACACCAAACCGCCATGACATGCCATTTACCTATATAACAAACTTGCCCTTGTGCCCTTGAACCTAAAATAAAAGTCAAAAAAAAGGTAATAGTATTATATCATTGTTAAAATTCCAAATTTTGATAATTGAACTGTGGTTACGTAAGGGAAAGTCTTAAGAAATACAAAATAAGACTTTATGGATAAAGAGGCATGATGTCTGCAAAATTATTCTTGAATCATTCAGAAACTATATATATATATATATATATATATATATATATATATATATAAACTTACAGAACAAGAGACAGACAGAGAGAGAGAGAGAGAGAGAGAGAGAGCAAATGATCAAGCTGATGGAGTGAAATGTTAACAACTGGCGGGGCACGGTGGCTCACGCCTGTAATTCCAGCAATTTGGGAGGCCAAGGTGTGAGGATCACTTGAGGCCAGGAATTTGAAACCAACCTGAGTGACACAATGAGGCCTTGTCTCTACAAAAACAAATTAAAAAAAAAAATGTTAGCCAGGACTTGGAGGCTGAGGTGGAAGAATCACTTGAGCCCAGGGGTGCAAGCCTGCAGTGACCTATGATTGTGCCACTGCACTCTCACCGGGGTGACATAGCAAGATCCTAACTTTAAAAACGAAAACAAAAGAAAAGAAAAGAAGAAAGAAAAGAAAAGAGAAGAGAAGAGAAGAGAAGAGAAAAGAAAAGAAAATGTTAATAATTGAAGAATTTGAGTATAGGGTATGTGGAGTTCTTTGCACTATACTTGTAACTTTTTTGTAAATATGGAATTATATCAAAAGTTTTATGTCCATTTTTAAGGTCATAACCGATATTAGATGCACTTTAATATAGGAGAGAAAATCTAAATTCAACAGCTATTCTTTAAGATAATTGTGATGTCAGAGTTCCTGAATTTGAACGACTCGCATAGAAGAGTTGCAATCTGCACAAAAGCCCACATCTTAACCAGAACAGGTTGGGTATTTTCCATGGGAAGTATTGAGTACACATGAAAAGAGGAATATTAATTGACCATGAGGTCACACAATTTGGGGGATCACATTCAGGCAGGATGAAAATTTGGCAGAAATTGAACATCTTGGTTATTATTTGCTTATTTCAGGAATGGCAGCGACTCTAATCCAGCCCCACTCTGCATTTTATCCCCCACAAAGAACAAGAAAGACTCATAACACATAATTTGATGTTGTTACCTTGCATTTTTTTCCCTTCTCACCTTGCTAGGTATAAGCAGAATATTGATACTCACTAGTTATGAGACCTTGGGAAAATTGCACCACCTTCTTGGAACTCAGGTTTTTCCTCCAAAATTAGGATAACAACATGTGGTCTATCCAACTTGCAAACGTGATATAGAAATTACACTGATAAATGGGTATGAAAATCCATTGGTGCTACAACATTTAAGTGATGATTTTAATGGTGATAATCATTATCAATTTTCCCTGGGTTTTAGCTCACTTAAAATTTCATTGTTCTGCTCCAGGAAGCAAAAAGGTAAAAATGATTTGAGGAATTATAGCATCATCAAAATTAGCAATGCTCTTTATTTGGAGTACAGAAAAAATAATTTTTATGCTTCCTACAGTGAAACGTTAAACGTTAAAGTAGTATTTTGAGATGGATATGAAGGAAGTAAATATACTTCTAAAATAAACAAGCTATTTTGGAAGTAGCCTATTTTACAGCACCTGGCTAAATATATTCATTAGTGTTACATATTCCTATATATTCATTCATTAGTGTTACATATGATCTTCTGTTATTATCATTTAAATATATCATAAAATTACATGGTGTAAGTATTTTATATTTTTTTCATTGTATAAAAGAAACTTGCCAGATCACCTTAACCAAACACCTTCATTTTACAGATGAGGAAGATGGCTTTTGGATTAATCTCACCTAGTTAATGGGAAAATCATAATTGAAATTAAAATATTTCACATCTAATTCCAATGGTATTCTCACCAAATTATGCTGCAAATATCCAAATAGTAATAAACATTGATTCTCTAGAGCAAATGAAGTATACCTAAAAAAATGTGGTTCAAATTGACATCACTGTTCATATGCATTACTATACTTGGTTGTTCCCAGAATCCCAGAATGTATCCATAATGTTATTAAGCCTCTTTGTTCTTAATTTTTCCATTTTCAAATAAACAGTATTTTAAATTAAATGTGCTGTATTCTTCTAAAAGATAATGGCAGTGTAAACATGAGAGGAGTGTTTTTTTAATAAGAATTTAAAAATTAAATAATCAATATTCAGCTCTGGCAGTGCTGTGGAGGTTAAAATTTTTAAAAAATCAGCTAAAGTGCCCTTTCTAAGGGCATATAATTGCCATCAAAACTCTGATTTTTTAAAATTGTACTCTTATAAAGAATCTATTCATGGTGAGGTATGGTTGCTCACACCTGTAACCCCAACATTTTGGGAGGCCGAGGTGGGAGGATCTCTGTAGCCCAGGAATTCAAGACAAGCCTGAGCAACAAGATGAAACCCCATCTCTACAAAAAATACAAAAATTACCTAGGCATGGTGGCTCACGCTTGTAGTCCCAGCTACATGGTGGTAGAGGTGGGAGGATGGCTTGAGCCTGGAAGGTTGAGCCTGCAGTGAGCCGAGATCGCAGTGCCACTGCACTCCAGCCTGGGCCACAGAGTAAGACCCTGTGTAAAAAAAAAAAAAAAAGAAAAAAAATCTAATATAAAATTTAAGAAGTCAGTAGATTTATGCAATTAATGTATTTGTTCATTGTCTCTCCTTAGAATTCGCTAGAAATAAAAAAATACCATTACAGGAATGGAGATACAAATGTTTAATCTATGGTAAGATAAAAAATATAGACAAATTACATTCTCTTTAAAAGTCAGAAAATGGCATCATGATTTATTAAACTACCTTGAAATTTCATTCTCTCAAGCAAAGTGATGGTGGTAACTAAAGCCTTATTTACCCATTTCTGTGTCCTAACTAGAGGCCTGAGGTAATTAGTCCTGTTTATGTTGAACTGAAATCTAGCCTTAGGCAAGATCTGCCCCTCCAGAGTTTACCCAAATGACAGCTGGAGGAGTAAAAATAAACCTCCATCCCCATAGGGAGGTGAACTGGGAGAAGAGAAATAGAGAAAGGACTAAAAAGGGCATTTCTTAAATTTTGGCACACCATTTTAGAAGACATAAATAGCTTTGTATAATGATCACTCTGCAGTAGGAAACACTAGTGCATGGGAGCTGTATAACACTTCTGAATGACAAGGCATGATTGATATGTGATTCATATGTGATTATTAATACGTGATTAATATGCAATGTGTTGCCACCAGCTTAATATGTGATGTGTTGCCAGTCACCTCCTACTTGCCCTGAAGGGGGTCTGGAGCAGATAAGACAAAAACAATTACATGACTTACTGAATATTCAGAATACAGTTTACAGAACACAGAATATGACTATTGAAATATGTCACATTTACAAGGAGTCTGGTTTGAGGATAGCCTGGGAGAAACACACATTCATTCGTGAAGTCCTCATACTAGAATGAAGCTCCATGCAGGCAGGGATCTTCATCAATTTTGGTTTTTAATGTACATCAAGCACCTACAACAGTGCCTGGCATATTTTACCTACCTGATAAGTATCTGTTGATTGATCGATATGCTCCTTAAGACTGTTTCAGATATCTGAAATATTTGCTTTGATTTCTTGAATTAATGTTTATATTTACTCCAACTAAGGATAGTTCTAAGTCATAGGATGTTTGTTTGAAGACATAAAATGTAACTTGATTGTTAGAAAACAGGCGCTTACTAAGAAAAATATCCTTTACCTTAAAAATAACAACCTCTAGTCATAAAGCCATGCACTGAAAGAACATTCTCTGCCGCAGAGGGGGAGCGGCCACCGGCCTCTTATGGGGTCAGCCACTAGAGGACGATGTGGTCACATACGCTGCCAAACCCTTGATAAGGCCAAGAGGAACCTTGATACGCAGGAATGAATGCTTCTAAGTTTCACTTCTCCAGCTTCTAGTCACACTATTGGTAAATTCCTCATGCAACTATCACTTCCAAAAATGAAAAAAAGAAAGACAGCACAATTATCATGAGCAGGTCGTTAGTGAAGATAAAAATCACAGAAAAATTGTGAAAATGTCAAAGTCTTGAGGAGGAGTAGAGAGCGGCTCAACAGATACTGTGCAGCTGTCAGGATACCGCGGAAGTGTTGACGCTGAAAATATTTGACTCAAGCTCTTCCTGCGAACAAGGCTTATAAGTTTCTAGCTGGCAATGAAATTGTGAAACGAGTTTAAGGACAAGGAGCTGAGTCAAGTAAATGAAATGGCAAGGAACTGGATTTTGAGTAGCTTGCTGTTATACAAAACAAGTAAAAAGAGAAGCTCTTCTATGAGAACTGCGTCACCTATAAAACTGCATTTTATCAGAATCAACAACAAAAACACACAATCACATCAGCAAATAACCTCTGAATTTTTTAAAATAACAGATGAAAGGTTCAGACAGCAGCCTTTTATGACTGACTTCAGTAAACTCAGATCTGCTATTATTTCCTCAAAGTTACCTAATACATGGTAAGTATTTCTAATGAGCGATTACAATAGAAATGTATTTTGCAGGGCAATCTTTTTTTGATCTAGTAGATGATTGACTTGAGTTTCTGAATTTTGAACAACAGTTCAATCCATAGCTCCATTATCCTGAAGAAAGAACTTCTATTCAGGTTAAATTTGCATGGATTCTCAGTAATTTTACAAAAACAAGTGCTGTATTTGTCATTCATCCAAAAAATATGTAAGTTTGTACTACACCAAAGGAAATGTCTGTGTTCATTAAAAGGCAAATATGATTTCTGTCCTCCTGAAGCTTGTAGTCCATCTGGTGGAGACAAGCAAGTAAAGGAACACATTACATTCGAGTTGTAGTGCTATGATTGGGGGAGTTCAAGGTGCTTTATTAAAAGTAGGTAGCAGCTATTGTGAATAATGCTACAGTGTTCATACACATGTCTTTATAATAAAACAGTTTCTATTCCTTTGGGTATATACCCAGTAATGAGCTTGCTGGGTCTAATGGTATTTCTGTTTTAAAGTCTTTGAGGAATTGCCACACTGTCTTCCAAAAACTAATTCACACTCAAACCGACAGTGCATAAGTGTTCCTTTTTCTCCGCAACCTCACCAGCATCTAGTTCGACTTTTTGATAATAGCCAGTCTGACTGGTGTGAGATGGTATCTCATTGTGGTTTTGATTTGCCTTTCTCTAAAGATCAGTGATGTTGAACTTTTTTTCATATGATTGTTGGTTGCATGTATGTCTTTTTCTTTCTTTCTTTCTTTCTTCTTTTTTTTTTTTAAGTGGAGTTTCACTTTTGTTGCCCAGGCTGGAATGCAATGGCGTGGTCTCAGCTCACTGCAACCTCCGCCTACTGGGTTCAAGCAATTCTCCTGCGTCAGCCTCCCGAGTAGCTGGGATTACAGGAGCCCACCATCAGGCCCAGCTCACTTTTCTATTTTCAGTAGAGACGGGGTTTCGCCATGTTGGCCAGGCTGCTCTTGTACTCCTGACCTCAGATGATCCGCAAGGCTTGGACTCCAAAAGTGCTCGGATTACAGGCATGAGCCACCGCACTTGGCCATATGTCTTCTTATTTATTTATTTATTTATTTATTTATAATTTTAATTTAATTTTATTATTATTTTTTTGAGACGGAGTTTTGCTCTTGTCAGCAAGGCTGGAGTGCAATGGCGCTATCTCGGCTCACTGCAACCTGTCTCCCTGGTTCAAGCAATTCTCCTGCCTTACCCTCCGGAGTAGCTGGGATTATAGGCACGCACCACCAGGCGCAGGTAATTTTGGTATTTTTAGTAGAGACGGAGTTTCACCATGTTGACCAGGGTAATCTCAAACTCCCGACCTCAGGTGATCCACCTGCCTCGGTCTCCCAAAGTGCTAGGATTACAGGTGTGAACCACTGTGCCCGGCCCATGTCTTCTTTTTAATGGGGTTGTTTTTTTCTTGTAAATTTGCTCAAGTTCCTTATAGATGCTGTATATTAGACCTTTGTTGGATACACAGTTTGCAAAATTTTTCCCCCATCAATGATAGACTGGATGAAGAAAATGTGGTACATATACACCATGGAATACTATGCAGCCATAAAAAGAATGAGATCATGTCCTTTGCAGAGGGAAACTGATGAGGGTGGAGGCCATTATCCTTAGCAAACTAACGCAGGAACACAAAATCAAATACCACACGTTCTCACTTATAAGTAGGAGCTAAACGATGAGAACACATGGACTCATTGAGAGGAACAACACACACTGGGGCCTGTCAAAGGGTGGAGGGTGGGAGGAGGGAGAGGATCAGAAAAAATAACTAACAGGTACTAGGCTTAATACCTGGGTGATGAAATAATCTGCACAACAAACCTCCATGACACAAATTTACCTATGTAACAAACCTGCACATGTGCCCCTGAACTTAAAATAAGTTAAATAAATAAATAAAACATAGGCAGCAACATGTGCTAACCCAGCCTTGGGAAAGGTGAGGCATTTTGGGAAAAGTTATACCTTAGCTGAGTTCTGTTAGGGAGTGCCAGAAAAAGGGTGGGAAACAGACAGGAAACAGATCAGGACATTTCCCATGGCAAGACACGATTCATTCTTGTTTCCTCCTCCCTAAAACACAGTCCTTAGATTAGATTATCTCTGTGGTTCCATTCAGTCTAACACACTGTGATTGTCTCTCCAAATTTGAAGAGAAAATTTAATAGGAAAAGAGAATTCAATAACTTTTCTTTGTAGACTAATTTTCACAAGCCTGTCTCTTCAAATTACTTAAATTCTCCTACCCTTAAAATCAGAGCTTTAAAGAAGATAAGGAGGGTTCAAATTATGGGACTTCTATATTGATTTGATATTTGGCTGATTTTATCAAAACAGATATCCAGATAGAATACTTTTATAGATACATGACTTTTCAATTTCCAAAGTTCTCTTAATCCTAACATGTATTTCTGTAGATACATCTGCAAGTTCCTAATCATTATGATATAAACACTATGTAATTTATACTTTTTTGACTCTAACATAATCTATTTACTGCATATGTGAACTTTCAAAGCAAAGTTTTTCCTTTTTACTAATCTCACGTTTGAAACTCATTTAAATTCCAATACAGGACTCCATGCAGTAGTCAGTTACCACATTTAAGACCTCTCTCCCAAGGCTATAGTTTCACATCTTCAACTGCCTGGTTGCCTTTTCTGGTTGACAGTCATCTCAATCCTTCATAATTATTGAAGAAAGATTAGAAGAAAACTGAATTTTAATATACAGACTGGAAGTAATAACAAAGGAGCATTCACACCATATGCTGAAATTCATTTCTCATGTGTTTCTACTTTCGTAGGACTTAAAATAATGAAGTGTTCTATTAGTGCATCTTTCAGCTCTTCCTTCTTCATTTGTTTACTTTTCAGTTTAAAAAAGCACCTGATTTGGACAATAACCTCGAGTTTTATATACTGGTTTTATTATTGTTTGGTGTTCTTCTATATTTAAAATTCACTTTTAGAGACAAACTCTTCACAGGCAAATAGGTGTTTAATAAGTAAATGAGTGTAACATTTGTGTTTAGCCATAGACATAGTTCAATGATTAATTCTAGATATCATGGAGTATACGTCTTCATTACATAGATTTTGATCAAAGCATATGCCCTGAAACAAATACTATGCTACACACAATGAAATCCTAATCAAACCTGGTTTCCTGGTATAACACTGGAATGATGGAGGAATAGGCCATCTTACTCTGGAATAATTTGTTCAAGGAGACCCATGCACCTGCATGATGATGTTAGAGTAGCTAATTTAGTGGTTTTCTACAAAGTCTTGTCATCAAGTGAAAGGTTCACTTCATTTCCCTTGATGTGGTGGTCCGAGGTTTGCAGGTTCCCGAACATAAGATTTGAGATCATCCTGAAAAATATCTGCAATCATTTTTGAAGTGCAAGAGTTTTGATATGCTTCAGTTGCCAAGGAATTTATGAACTCTCCTATTTTCAGACTCGCTTTTAGATCAGTCTCTAGTGTTTGAGGCAAACTAATTTATTTTAAAAGAAAAATATATTGCATACTGACCTAAACACTCAATAATTACTTTGGCTTAAGAATGAATACCTTCATGTGGACAAAATATGAAATTTAAGTATAATAAATACAAGAATTGATTAGATGTATTATATGCTTGTGAATTTGAAATCATATATTTTGATCAAGCCTAAAAATTGACCTTAACCTAAAGCAAGACTTCATTACCTGGCAATATCAAATGAGAGCTGGTCCCTACTGGATATCAGCTGTTAAAAGCCCATCTTTTTAACTGAATACCTACAAACTCAGCTCAAGAATAATGCCTACCTCATCTGAGTAGTTAGTTGTACCTGTCCAGTATCTACAGACCTGAGATGATTCCTTAATTCCAAGTCTTTGGAACAACAAATACAATTAATTTGAGAGAGTAGAAATAATTCCATAGTGGTAACTGCATATACACTGATTGAAACCAATTAACAATCATGGGAGGGTGAGAAACATTGTTTCCCTCCTCTTCATTAAAGGAGGGCTAAATTCATTTTGCCCTTTGTGGCTAAAGGCAAATTCTTGATTATTTTTATTTTTATTTATTTTTTAGTTTTTGAGACAGGGTCTGGCTCTGTTGCCCACACTGGAGTGCATTGACGCAATATTGGCTCACTGCAGGCTCTGCCTCCAAGGTTCAAGAGATCCTTTGGCCTTATCCTCTGGAGTAGCTAGGACTACAGGGACACACTACCAGGCCCTACTAATTTCTTTTTTTTTTTGTAGAGACCAGGTTTCGCTATGTTTCCCAGGCTGGTCTCGAACTCCTGGGCCCAAGCGATCTCCCTGCCTCGGCCTCCCAAAGTGCTGGGATTACAGGTGTGAGCCACTTTGCCCGGCATATTGTTATTTTTATTTTTACTCTTTTTTGGAGACAGAGTGTCACTCTGCCACTCAGGCTGGAGTGCAGTGATGTGAACATAGCTCACTGGAACCTTGAACTCCTGGGTGCAAGTGATGCTTCCATAAATGCAAATTCTTAATCCTAATCTTTTTTGGCTTAGTCATATGTCCCACTCACCCTGTCCTTTTCTTATGTCAAAAGCGGTCTTCAAGAGCCTCCAAACTCAAGTGGAGATGGTGATGTTTAAATACCATATTGGTGGGCTGGAGCCAGCTTGCACTAACTCACTAGAGCTGATAGTTAAATTTTCAGGAATTTTTGAGCCAGTTATTAGAGACTTTATTAAAAATTAAATTATGTAAACTTACAATTAGATAATTATATTAAACGTAATATAATTTATATTTATTAGGTAAATATAAAATGTAATAAGCACTAAAAACATCACTTTTACTTTACCATTATATCTTTTATATGATGTAGATAGTGGAAATTCCACGTAATGTGCTACCATGCATCTCTTCCCAATCTGCAATCAGTAATGTCGTATTGGTAGCCTGAAATCACCACGGTGGGAGTATTTACGCCATGGAAATCTGAAAACACTACAAGTCAGAACTCCCCACCTCTTCTACCCCAGAACCCATTGTTAACACCTTACCAGCACATCACTGATACCTGCCCACAGGGCCTTCTAAGGGAAGTTGTTCTCCCTTTCCCAGAAACTGCATCTCCATATGACTCCACACCTTTCCTCCCAGACACAGCTGGCTGGCCTAGGAGTGAAAAACTAACAAAGGAAGAAAACGTCTATAGGCCAGACCAACCTAATGCTTTCTCTTTAGGATTTGCATTAAGATTCATAGAGATTGGTAGAATTAGTAGCCAAGTCATGCTCACAGCAGTGTGCTAGAATGAATGTCCTTGAGCTCTTATGATGTAGGTCCCTAGAGCTGACCCGGTTACCACACTTCCTGACACCTCATAGTACCACTTTTCTCTGGATTCTCTATAATTTTATCCTTAAAATGTGTCTTTTACTTGAGCTAATGCAATTGCTATTTGATTCCTTGGAAATTAATATGCCTTAAGAAAAACGGTTTTAAATTCCGTCAGTTTCTGATGATTGTAATGCAGGAACTATCTAGATGTAGGGCAGAATATCTAGGCTCAATTTCTGGTAGTATAACTCAAAGAAAATCCTTTAACCTGGCAGCCTCTCAGTTTCCTCGTCAGTCAGTAAAAATGGAACGAGTGTATATTTCAGTGGTATTTAAGCCCCAGTAGTCTACAAAGTTACTTCAGGCTCCACTGTGAGAGCTGAAAAGGAATCTTTAAATGGACAAGGTCCGGATTTCCCTCCTTTTCCACTACAGACACTCTGCTGTTATCTACTTTGTGTTTTGGGGCTTAAGAAACAAGACTTCTTTTGGCAAACAGTTTTCACTAAGCACTCCCCTCCCCACCCCACGCCCACCACCCCCCAACAAAAACTTAGAAAGATTAGAAAATTCCCAGACTGAGCTATCTCTAAATTATTTTTGGTCTTCTATAACTTTATAGGGTAAATATTAAATGTTGCCATGCATATTACAAAAACATTTGAACTTTTTTTTCAGCTGTTCTGTTCCTACTGTTGTTTGCATTATCTTCTCCTAGTAGAGCGTTTCCAAAGAACCACGGTGGACTTACAACTAACTCAACTCAGTCCCAATCTGATAGCCCAGTCTTAGCAGAGATACTGACCTACTTTTTCCTGTGATTTCTGGGCCTGGCCTGATAATTTTACTTAGCACAGTGTTCTGGACAACCAATATCAATCAACTGAAGTTGGCAGGGGATGAAACTGGTTGCCATCCCACTAAACTTCTGCAGGTATGTACACTGACTAACCTTATGCTATTCTTGATGTCTCTAATGGCTCCCTCTTTATTCTGAGCTTTCCATCTGTTCTGAAGACTGCCCTTCTATTTGTTTATCTGCTCCTGAAGCAATTTCCCCATCCAACACCTGACAGTCGGGGGTTAGAGCCAGAACCAAGGGTATGTACTGGTTGCACTAGGCCTTACGATCACATACCCACTGGCTCTGTCCATATGGACGCTTCAGAGGAGAAAATGCTGCAAGTTAAAGAAGTTAAAACACTACATTGTTTGCTTAAAATACAAAGTTCCTTTTGGTCTTTTCCTTAATAAATACGAAAAATCACTAATAGTATCTTCTTAGTAGTCTTCAAGTAGTAAAAGATGTTTATTAAAATACTCCTTGGTTAAATCTTCTCAGGCTATATCAAGCTTATATAAGCTAAACTTTTCCTTTAGTTTCCAATTCTTCAATCAATTTTATTGTTCTTAGTTGAACTCTTTTCAAGCTCTACACATTCCTTTAAAGTTGTATAGTTCATAACTGAGCAAAGTCCTCTAGTAAATAACACATTAGTATAAGAGCATTAGGAAGAAAATCTATGTTTTCTTCTATATAAACTTTTTATTGAAGTGTTACGTATATAAAAATGTTATAGAAATTATAACTGGACAGCTCTACGAATATTTATAGAGTAAATACACGTGTCATTGGCACCCATATCAAGACACAGAACTCCCAAAGCTCCTTTTTCTGCCTTCTAATCACTTCCCTGCACCCAGGGAGACCACCATCCTAATGTCTAATGTTATTTATATCTATTTGTTGTTGTTGTTGTTGTTGAGCTTTTAAAATAGAGTAATAAAGTTGGTTCTTTTGTGTCTGCCTTCTTTACCTCACTTTTGCTTTAAAATTTATCCCAGTGATTGCATGTAGTTGCAATTCAGTAATTTTCATTGCTTTATATCATTTCATTATGTGAATATGCCACATTTTTAAATAATCCAAGCCACTGTTGATGAACATATGAATAGTTTCTGGTTTGTTGCCAATTAGAAATGATGCTACTATGAATATTCCTCTATATGTCTTTTTTTTTTTTTTTTTTTTTGAGATGGAGTCTCACTCTGTCACCCAGGCTGGAGTGCAGTGGCGCGATCTCGGCTCACTGCTAGCTCCGCTTCCCGGGTTCATGCCATTCTCCTGCCTCAGCCTCCCGATTAGCTGGGACTACAGGTGCCCACCACCACAGCCAGCTAATTTTTTTGTAATTTTAGTAGAGATGGGGTTTCACCGTGTTAGCCAGGATGGTCTCGATCTCCTGACCTCGTGATCTGCCCGCCTTGGCCTCTCAAAGTGCTGGGATTACAGGCATGAGCCACCCACTGTGCCCAGCCTCCTGTATATGTCTTTTGATGGACATAAGTACTCATTTCTTTTCATGAGTCTTTCACCTAAAAAGTGAAATTAATGGGTCATAGGATATGCATATGTCCAGCTTCAGTAGACACTGCTAAGCCCAGCGGGCCCAATCAAAACTCAGGCAAAGGAACCACTGGCCACAGAGGTTTCTGGACAGGAAAACAACACCCCAAAGATCCCATAACATTTTGCTACCAAAGTGTCACTCTTGTGTAATGGGTGATCATTATGTTACTATGAGGTTATTCTGCACCAGAAGACACTTTTTAATGGACATAGAAGCTTTAATCACTATCAGACATGAAAATAGGAAAAGACAATTGAGAAAGAGCTTCCTTGTTTTCCGGTGGGAGGCTTTGCTGGTAGTAAGTCCGTCCTGCTATTGCCTGTGTCCCAAGTACATAAGAAGTCACTACCACCAAATGGAGAACAAAGACACAGGGGATTGTGGGACTTAAACAGCAGAAATTGAACAGTGAGACACCATCAACAAAGACCCTGGAAATTATGTAAAACAGACTGGATAGACGTAGTAGTCAAACCGAGGGTGTTACTGCTCTGGAAAGGTAGTTAAAAGTGTACAATTGCCAGCTTGGTTATTGTCCCCAGTGAAAGATCTAAGAACAAAAGGGGAGGTGTGGCCAGTCAATCACTGATGTTTGGCCATGGATGATGCTGCATTTTCCTCGGAGGACCAAAAGAATGGACAGAGCCGGCTGGGCACTGTGGCCCACGCCTGTAATCCCAGCACTTTGGGAGGCCGAGGCGGGCAGATCATGAGGTCAGGAGATCGAAACCATCCTAGCCAACATGGTGAAATCCCGTCTCTACTAAAAATACAAAAATTAGCTGGGCATGGTGGCGCTCGCCTGTAGTCCCAGCTACTCGGGAGGCTGAGGCAGGAGAATTGCTTGAACCTGGGAGGCGGAGGTTGCAGTGAGCCGAGATCGCGCCACTGCGCTCCAGTCTGGTGACAAAGCAAGACTCCGCCTAGAAAAAAAAAAAAATGGAGAGAGCCTTGGGGAAAACCTATGGCTTTAAGGCTCTAGTCCAGGAGGATACGGCCAAATCATAGTAACAGGATAACTTCAGTGCTAGAATCTGAAAATCACAAAATCTGTTCTTGAATCAAGCTTTCTGCATGATCATACTTTGTTGTCCACCCCCCTCCCCTTTTTTTAGAGGGTCTTGCTTTGTCACCCAGGGGCTGGAGTGCAGTGGCATGATCATAGCTCACTGCAGCCTCGAACTCCTGGGGCAAGCAATCATCCCACCTCAGCCTCCTGAGCTGCTGGGACTGCAGGCATGCACCACCACTCCTGGCTAATTTTAATTTTAATTTTTGTAGAGACAGGTTCTCACTATGTTTCTCTGGCCGGCCTTGAACTTCTGGCTTCAAATGATCCTCCTGCCTTGGCCTCCCAAAGTGCTGGGATTACAGGTGTGAGCCACTTCACCTAGCCCACACTCTATCTGTGATCCTTCTTTGCCAGTCCCTTGCTTTTTCCCTTTGGCCTCCCATCTGTGTTGATTGCATTTCCTCATTGATGTGCTGCTTGGTTTGTCAGCTTGTTTAGTGTCTGATGGGCCATTGTATTTCCTTGTCACCTAACTTGCCTTCCTATGTTGACCTCCACCTTCCCCCCTTTTCAAGACATTGCTTTTCATTTAGTAAATATAATTGAGGTCCTAATGTGTGCCAGGAACTGGGCTAGAAGATGCATACCCTGGCCTCATGTTGCTTAGAGTCAGCTTGGCTTTGCCTAATGGAAAAAGGGTGAGATACAGATCACAGTCTTTGGGAATGAGAGCTCATCAAAACAGAAAACAGACCCTCAGTGTCTTGTGTAACTTGGTTTCCATAGCCCTGGATGCTGAGGAATTGAGTTCTAGATTGCTGGTGGGTAGCACTTTGAAGAAAACAGAGCAAGAACATACCTTCCCCAACACTGTCTCCTATGTCAGTTTTGCCCTAAGGAAGACAGCATGGAAGGTGGAAGGCAATTTGAGAAAATGATGACAACTTTCCCAAGAGAGAAGAAGATGGTTGCAACCTTGCTCTCTGCTGGTAGACTTGAGTGGACCTGGGGATGGGGTGGTTCATGTGCCCTGATACAGATCTCAGATGTAACTGCTGCTCTTTTAACTAGTCAAGAATCTGGAGCTCAGAATGACCAAAATAAGGAATGCAGTATATTTTAATAGAAGTTTTGTTAAACAAGACATTCCTGCCTATTGCACTTATATTCCACTTTTTCAAACTTTTCAAAATCACTAACGTATTTGCAATTTTAAATGCAGTAGAAGGTTAAAATAATTAGATAAAGGAATGGATTTTTTTTTTTTTAAACATAGTCTTGCTCTCTCACCCAGGCTAGAGTGCAGTGGCTCAGTGATGGCTTACTGCAACCTCCTTTTCCCCGGTTCAAGCCATCCTCCTATTTCAGCCTCCCGAGTAGCTGGGACCATAAGCACGCACCACTATGCCTGGCTAATTTTTGTATTTTTTGTAGAGACGAAGTTTTGCCATATTGCCCAGGTTGGTCTCGAACTCCTGAGTGATCAACTCACCTTGGCCTCCCAAAGTGCTGGGATTACAGACGTTAGCCTGCGTGGTCCGGGGATGGAATTTTAAGTTGAAAGAATAAAACAATCTTAGGCCAATTGTAGATTTTCAGAAGAGAAATGATACATGAAAAATACCATGAAGTATCTTTCTATGGTTTACTGATACACTTGGAGCATTTTAGTTCATTAGAAAGATGGGTTCAGGGGTGATCATCTATTTCAACTCCACTATTTTAGAGACTGTGGCTTCCAAAGCATTATAATTAAGATGCAGCAAATCCAAGACTGGAGTCCAGATTTCTTCACTTCTAATTTATTACTTATTCACTGAGGTATATGCTTTCCTGGAAAACCCTTTTTGGCTTAATCCCCATTGTTTGAAACATTTTTATTGTTTCAGAACATTTCTTTTTATTTAGACCATAGTGAACGATAAGTGGATATTTCTTTCAAGGTGTGGGCTCTCACTGTGGAGTAGGGGCATTTTGGGGGTTATTCTTAATGCTCAGTAGAATTGACATAAAAGATAAGGGATACTGGGTTGACTCTATATTGATCCAACAATATTACCTGAAATTTCAAAAAAAAAAGGTTCCAAATTCCTAATATCATATTTTCTTAAAATTTTTCCTCTGGGAATTAAACTCAGAAAAATATCCACATAACAAGGGAATTTGGTTATTTTTGTGTAGCTATAGTTACAGAGCATCAAACGTGGGAAGAAAACAGTAACTATTCTTAAGGAAATTTCACCTTTAGAGGGAAAGTACTGTTGAAAATTATTAGTAAAGCTGTTTTTGCACGTGAGAGGTATTTTATCCAAAGTTCTCTGACTGATCTACAAACATAAACTTAGCCCTTCTCACAGCAGTACTTAGCTTCTAACCAGATAAATTGTTTGCAGGAGCTCTATCAAATTTAGAAAACTATAGAGAAACTACATAGAAATCTATACGTATGTGTCTGTATTTGTCATCTTAGATGAAGGATGTCATTTTCCTCATCTGTAATGTGATGTTATTGTATTACCTCCCTAATCTTCTTTAGAACTACTTAGCTTTTAACATGCAACTAGTAAAAATTGATCAGTTTGTCCAAGAATTCTGGCATTAGACTATAATAAGAATTTATGAGAAAATCAGGAAATCATGTTCAGTTCAAAGTAAACAGTGTCAGAACTATTATTATAATTTTTTTTTTTTGAGACAGAGTTTCGCTCTGTCACCCACGCTGGAGTGCAGCGGCACAGTCTCGGCTCACTGAAACCTCCACCTCCCGGGTTCAAACAGTTCTCCTGTCCCAGGCTCCTGAGTAGTTGGGACTACAGGCGCATGCCACCACACCTGGCTTTTTTTTTTTTAAGTTTTTTGTATTTTTAGTAGAGATGGGGTTTCACCGTGTTAGCCAGGATGGGCTCTATCTCCTGACCTCATGATCCACCCGCCTCGGCCTCCCAAAGTGCTGGGATTACAAGTGTGAGCCACCACGCCCGGCCAATATGATTATTATATTATATATAATATATATAATTATTACCCAGAAGATAATTTATTTGGGGAAACTACCATTTCACAGAATATAGAGAAAGCATAAATTGAGGAAAATTTGGTGATAAAGCAAGACGCTATCAGAGTCTTCCTTAGGCATTGACTCCATAAAACCCACAGGCTGAAACTGAAGAAAACTCAGAGACAGGTTTTAAAATACACAAAATTTGTTCATCTGCTACAGAAGATTTTTCTTCTTACCGCTTTTAGCAGCTTTAAGAAAGCAAAATGCCATTAACCTCTATTAAAATAAGAGGTAACAGGGTGTACCTGATGTGCTATTTACATGCAAGGTGTTAGGAATAGAAATTGCAGGACCTCCAGGAGTTCGAGGCCAGCCAGGCCAAGATGGTGAGACCCCCATCTCTACTAAAAACACAAAAATTAGCCAGGCACGGTGGCGGGTGCCTGTAATCCCAGCTACTCGGGAGGCTGAGGCAGGAGAATCGCTTGAACCAGGGAGACGGACGTTGCAGTGAGCCGAGAATGTGCCACTGCACTCTAGCCTGGGCAACAGAGCAAGACTCCGTCTCAAAAAAAGAAAAAAAAAAGGGAAGAAATTGTAGGACCTGAGCCAGAAAAAACTCATTTGGTCGTCTCTGAAAGCCTTTAGTCTTTACAAGAATTGCCAGAATCAACTGATGGTGTATTCTCTTGTCACTGCAGCCCAATTGAGACCACTGTATTTAGTTGTCTGTCCCCTTAGATCCACAATATTTTAGGGACTCCTGGCACCATTCCATAGTAGGAAGAAAAAGCTAACATAATTCAAGTTACCAAAACTGGGGTCTGGGGAGAGAAACTGATAGGAACTTCATCTACACTTTCTCATAAAAACTGATACTGATAACATAGCAAACAAAAAGTACAGTAAAAACAAAAAGATGACACAATACGCTTCTCATTTATTTTATATTTATACAAACAGCGCTTCCCTGAAAAATCAGGGTATCGTTCAAGATTTTATCTTTATTCACAGAAGTTTTAAAATTTTTAACTTTTATATGCACAAGACAGTTCTGATTTGTTGAATTAAGTGACCGCGGGTGTGCTAATGCTTCTAAAAAACAGCATTAGCCTTCTCCCATCAAAAGTCCGGAAGCTGCCCTTCAGTCGTCAAAGTGTTTGCCTTAATTTGCAATCGTTATGACTTGAGCCAAATGCTTATACCTCATTTGTGTCGTATATGTGAAGATACAATTGCAAATCGTTCACGACCTTGAGTCAAGACCTTGAGTTTCCTGAGGTCAGGAGACCGTTAGGGAATGTGAGTGTCCCAGACGGGCGCTGAGCCCAGCTCGGAGACCCACCCCGCCCGTAGCAGCGGCGCGGGCCCCAGAGAGCCCCGCACTCGGCCGCGCCTCAGTTACGCTGACTCGGCTGTGCCCGCAGTGTCGCGCTGTCGCGTAGCCAGGTGTCGCCGGGCTGGCGCGGTTATTTATGACTGCGTGGTTGGGCTGGGGGTTCGGGGCCGGGGAGCAGCCGGGATCCGCCGCCTCTTCCATGATCTTCCCGGGCCGAACCACGGGACCGCTACGCTGAAGGTGGCGTCGCGGGTCCCCGGGGCCGCGCGAGTGTAGGGGTCGCTCTCGGCCGGCCGCGAAGCTCGCGGCACCGACTTCTCGCGAGATTTCGGCGACCCCCCCCCCCGCCCCCGCCCCTCCGTTCTCTGCCCCCTCCCAGCTCTGGTGTGGGCGGCCTCCGCTATGGCTGCGCTGCGAAGGCTCTTGTGGCCGCCACCCCGGGTGTCTCCTCCACTCTGCGCTCACCAGCCCCTCCTTGGGCCGTGGGGGCGGCCTGCGGTGACCACCCTGGGCCTTCCTGGCCGGCCCTTCTCCTCCCGAGAGGATGAGGAGAGGGCTGTGGCGGAGGCGGCATGGAGGCGGCGGCGGCGCTGGGGGGAGCTGAGCGTGGCGGCGGCGGCCGGCGGGGGGCTGGTCGGCCTGGTATGCTACCAGCTGTACGGGGACCCCAGGGCCGGCTCGCCGGCGACCGGGCGACCCTCAAAGAGCGCGGCCACGGAGCCCGAGGACCCGCCCCGCGGCCGGGGGATGCTGCCCATCCCAGTGGCGGCTGCCAAGGAGACGGTGAGTGCGCGAGCGCGCGTCACACCTGCGCGGGGGATGTGACCTTCGTGCCGGGTACGCAGGACCCTGGAGGCTGTGGGGACGGTGCAAGCGCTGTGGCCGCGGGTGAGGAACTTCCCGTGAGCGAGGCTGACACCTAGGCCGGACAGCCTAGGATCCGGTCACCCACGTATTGGGAAGACCAGTGATGCTGTCCCTGATGCATCAGGACCTTAAAGGTGGCTGCAGCTACCAAGTATCAATCCAAACCCAAAACCAACACCCCTCCCCCTCTTACAAAAAAAGATTCAGAAATGAAGGCCATGACAGGCAGAAAGTGGACCGCTGTAGGTGTGGGAAAAAGGAACTCCTAGATTGCGCGGGGCGACAGCTAATGACCCAGGAGGTCTGTTGCATTAGAATGAGTTTCGAAGCAGCGGTCTGAGATCTCAAAAGCCACTACTTTAGCATATGAGAATTTATTAGTCCCAAGAAAGGAAATGCTAAACCTGCATGCTAACGCCCTTATCATACCCAGGGAATGTTGATGTTACCAGGTCTGAAAAGAAATAAAAAATTGTTCAAAAAGAGACATAAGTATTTCTCTCTTTTTCCTTCCCCCACTAAAGCCAGAATCCCGTTAGTAGGTAACGATAAAACACAAAATGGATAGGATAGCAAATGTAGGAGGCTGTGAATGACACAAACTCCTACAGAAGAAAGTCACGTGAAAATGTTCAACTGTCATTATGTAGTTAATAATACAAGGTAAAGATGTGTGAAAGGCAACAGTGAGTAAAGGAGCGTGATTTTTTTTGTCGCATCAGTATATTTAATAGTCATGTAAATGACTAGGAAAATTAAGGAGATTTTCCTTGCAAGGCTCGAAGAATGTGAACGGCGTAGATGAAAATAATTTAGAAAACAGAGAGCTATGCTGTTTCTAATGCAATTTTTATAGGCTTTGTTCTTAATACGCAGTGGTGATCTGATGTAAGTGCATCATTTCCTTTGGTGGAGGTTGTCAATGCAATTAGGTTACGGAATCTGCTTTATGGACTATCTAGCAGCAGATCACAAGCACATAACATAAAGTCCTTTTACACATGAATATTCAAAATACTAGGAAATACCCTCAAATCTCCACCCCCTCCCCCTTCACAAATACACATCCACTTTTGTGGCTTGGCAAGGAGCATAGCGTTTTTCATGATGGCAGAACTTTTAATTAACCATAGTTGGTCTAGGAACAGATCAGCAAGGTAGGGAATTCAAGTAGTATTTTCTTTTCTTTCTTAAAATTAATTTTACTTTTACAGTTGAGAGATGTTATCTTGCAGTTTTTAAAAAGACCACGTTCAGAAAGCTAGAACTTTGGCTCCACGACTTGCTACTTGTGTCATTATGGAGAAATTACTTGACCTGTCAATGCCTGTTTCCTCACCTGTGAAATGAGGCTAATAGTCTCCTGGGGTGTTATGAGAGTTAAATGAGTTAACACAGTATATTTAAAACAATGGTACTACTAAAGAACATTAAATAAATTTATTTTTTGGCTGAGCGTGGTGGCTCACGCCTGTAATCCCAGCACTTTGGGAGGTCGAGGCAAGCAGATCACCTGAGGTCAGGAGTTCGAGACAAGCCTGGCCAACATGGCGAAACCTCGTCTCTACTAAAAATACAAAAATCAGCCGGGTGTGGTGTTGGGCGCTTGTAATCCCAGCTACTGGCAAGGCTGAGGTAGGAGAATCACTTGAACCTGGGAGACAGAGGTTGCAGTGAGCCGAAATCACACCTCTGCACCCCAGCCTGGGTGACAAGAGCGAAACTCCATCTCAAAAAAAAAAATTATTTTTTATTCGTTTATTTATTTTGTACTTTTGTGCAGTTATTATTGCTTAGTGTTTATAAAAATTTCTGTTCATTGTTTTAGAAGTCAAATAATGTTAAAGTCCTGTGTCTTATGCTTCCCTAGCCTCTAGTCCTACTTTCTGATTGTCATGCCTTTTGTATTTCCCTCTCTGAAAACTTTTATGATCTGTTTATCCCTGGTGCTTGAAATTTTCACAGTAATGAGCTTCGGGATGTGTATTTTTTCACTGATTGTGCTAGGTTCTTAAGAGGCCTTTCAATATGGAAATCCGTGTCTAAAAAATTCTGTGTAATTTTCTTCTATTGTTTCTTTGATGATTTTTCTCTTCTCCCTCTTTCTATTCTCTTTTTCTGGAAATGCTGTTTCTTTGAAGTTAAATTTCCTGACAGATCCTAATCTAATTCTAATCATTCTTATATTTCGGTTTTAAAAAATATTTTCATCTGTTTATTTGTTTTTATAGCAGATATCCTGGGCTTTATCTTCCAACCTTCCTACTGAATTTTTTTATTTCTGCTATTCTACTTTTTTAATTCAAAGAGCGACTTTGTGTTCTCTGTTGTTGATGAGTTATAGCATTCTATTTTGCTTTCTATATGGCTGCTATATTTTCTCTTTTTGCTGTAAGGATATAAATTATAACTTTGTTTTGCCTTCTAAGGATATAAATTATAACTTTGGCCTTCTCTGTGCATTGCTTTGTTTCTTCCAGGTTCTTTTTTATTTCTGTTTGATTTTATAAGCTCTTGCTTTCATTTTGGAGGTTTTCCTCACATATCTGTGGTTGTTACCTGTCTCTTACTTGAGAACCTCTCAGAGGGTGTCTGTGCATAACATGTCCTTTCATCTGCACGAAAGGGCTTCTTATTAGTGTAACATCCAAATGTCAGTATTTTACAGCTCTTTTTCTCTGATGCTGTTGAGCGTCTACAAAAAATAGGAGAGATGAGAGGTGCAGTAGTCTTCTGGCAGCAGGCACATGTGCACATATATGTAACACCACTTATGTTGGTGAGTATTATGGGCTTCTTATTAGTGTAACATCCAAATGTCAGTATTTTATACCTCTTTTTCTCTGATGCTGTTGAGCGTCTACAAAAAATAGAGATGGGAGGTGTAGTAGTCTTCTGGAAGCAGGCACAGGTGCACATATATGTAACAGCACTTATGTTGGTGAGTATCTAATGATATACTTAGGTATTGTTATCTAATCCTCTGCTTTTAGCCCAACTACTTACTCTGATTCCATAGCTCCATAGTTCCCAAGGCCTTGTCCGTTTTGGGATTCTGTATAGCAAATATTAATACCTTACTTCTATTTGGTCTCTGCAGAACTCAGGTAGTGCCTCTGTTCTCTTAAGTCAATTATCACTCCTCCATCTCTTCAATTTTATAAAAATTTTATAAATTCTCTTGAATGTTTTAGTTTCCCATTCTTTTCTCTATCTTAGCTCTTTTGTATTTTTACCTTTTTATACTCCTTTACTGTGAATTTAATGTGGTTAGGGGAAGAAGATGTTGAAATAGAATCATGGAGTCAATCTGCCATTTTTCAGAAATACTATTTTAGTGGCATGTGCTTGTAGTCCCAGCTACTCAGGGGGCTGAGATAGGAGGATCATGTGAGACCAGGAATTCAAGCCTGCCGTGGGCTATTATTGCACCACTCCATTCCAGCCTAGGGGACAGAGCATGACTTGGCTCAAGAAAGAAAAAGAAATTTTATTTTAAACCTATGCTGCCACTTCATTTATTATTATTATTATTATTATTATTATTATTATTATTATTTTGAGACATAGCATCGCTCTATCGCTCAGGCTGGACTGCAGGGGTGTGATCTCAGTCACTGGAACTTCACCTCCCAGGTTCAAGTGATTCTTCCACCTCAGCCTCCCAAGTAGCTAGGATTACAGGCGCCGGCCACCATGACCAGCTAATTTTTTTTGTATTTTTAGTAGAGACAGGGTTTCACTATGTTGGCTATGCTGGTCTCAAACTCCTGACCTCAAGTTCCGCCTGCCTCAGCTTGCAAAGTGCTGGGAATACAGTCGTGAGCCGCTGCACCCAGCCCATTTATTATTTTTGATTTTTCTGAAGTGATATAAATGATTCATTTTGATGTTTAAAACTATAGCTAAGAACTTCTGATTTATAAAGTGTCTTTTAAGTATAATATGCTGCTGAGCATAAGCCTGGCGTGTAAATTAACCTGTATGTGTTATAAGAATAATTTAACTGATGTAAGTGAACAGCAGTAACTTACAGAAATACAGTTCTCTTATATGATAGCCTTGAAGATTTTTATGTCAAAGACATTGGCTCTCAACTCGGAATGCCTTCCCTGACTCTATAGATTTGTTGAAATATCTCTCTCTACTTTCAGATAATGTCTTTTTTTGTAATTATTTGATCATTGTTTGTCTTCTTTACTTGTCTTAGCCCCTTAAGGAGAGGCACTGTGTTCGTCTTTGTCACATTTATGTCTTCATTGCCTGTTAAGGGTCCTAGCCTGATAGGCACAATATGTATTTGTTGAATAAATAAGCTCATGCTAAATATTTGTATGGAACATACACTGAGAAATGAGTTTAATATTTTGTTCAGCTAAAGCAGTTATTTTTAGCATTTGAATTGGGACGACTTCAGTAAAGGTCAAAATTCCAGGCTTTGGGAGATCAGATCACGTGGCACTGTATTTATTTTAATTGTGCAAGTTTGGGTTGCCAAAATTTTTTAGCAAACTATGGCTTTGGCCTTTATTTATATTATAAAGAGATGATTCTGATTAGAACCTCAAAGTTTTAGCCTTAAAGCACTATTTTTATTAGTGGGAAAAAATTTTGTTCTAGAACTGCCTTTTTTTTTCATGCCCAGAATAAAAAAACGATTAGATTGCTTAACATACTTCAGTGTTTTACTTAATTGTACAGAAGACATGATCTTGTTTTATGATTTGTTCGCCTTAAAAAGCTTCAAGCAACATATTTGAGTATTACTGTGGAGTGGAAAACTAGTTAGACAAATTTTTTATCTCTTTCATATCTGTAATAATTGCAAATAGTCATACATTATTAAGTTTCCTTTACCATATGTTTTCCAGCCTCTTTTGTCAAGGCAGCATATCTTGAGATGTGAGGATATAATGCTTTTTCCCAGAATATCGAAGAATTTGCCAGATGCTTACAGGCATACGTTTTGCCGTGCTTCATTTTCTTGTGCTTCACAGATACTGCATTTTTTACAAGTTCAAGATTTGTGGCAACAGTGAATTGAGCAAATCAGTTGGCACCATTTTTCCAACATTATACGCGTACTTAATGTTTCTGTGTCATGTTTTGATAATTCTTGCAGTATTTCAGACTTTTTCGTTATTATTTTATCTGTTATGGTAATCTGTGATCATTTATCTTTGACCTTACTATTGTAATTGTACCATGCACCATGAACCGCACCCATATAAGACAGCAAAGAATAAATGTTATGTGTAGTTTCCTCCATGAACCAGCTTTTCCCTAGTCTCTTTCCCTCTTCTCGGGCCTCCCTGTTCCCTCAGTCACAAAAATACTGAAATTAGGTCAGTTACTAATCCTAGAATGGCCTCTAAGTGTTCACGTGGAAGGAAGAGTTGCACATCTCTCACTTTAAATCAAAAGCTAGAAATGATTAAGCTTAATGAGGAAGGCATGTTGAAATACTACATAAGCCAAAAGATAGGTCTCTTGTGGAAAGAGTTAGCGAAGTTGTGAATGCAGCGGAAAAGTTTTTGAAGGAAATTAAAAGTGCTCTTTGTGAACACACAGATTATAAGGAGACAAAACAGCCTTACTGCTGAGATGGAGCAAGTTTTAGTGGTCTATGTAGAAGACCAAACCACAACATTCCCTTAAGACAGAGCTTAATCCAGATTAAGGCCTTAATTATCATCAATTTTTTTTTTTGAGACCGAGTCTTGCTCTGTCGCCCAGGCTGGAGTGCAGTGGCGTGATCTCCACTCACTGCAAGCTCCGCCTCGCCGGGTTCATACCATTCTTCTGCCTCAGCCTCCCGAGTAGCTGGGACTGCAGGCTCCCACCACCACACCCAGCTAATTTTTTTGTATTTTTAGTAGAGACGGGATTTCACTGTGTTTGCCAGGATGGTCTTGATGTCCTGACTTCGTGATTTGCCCGACTTGGCCTCCCAAATTGCTGGGATTACAGTGTGAGCCACCGTGCCTGGCCAACTATCATCAATTATTTTAAAGTTGTGAAAAGTAAGGAAGCTGCAGAAGAAAAGTTGGAAGTTAGCAGAGAATGGTTCATGAGATTTAAGGAAAGAAGCCTTCTCCATAACATAAAAGTGCAAGGTGAAGTGGAAATGATGATGTGCAGGGGGTAGCAGGTGATCCAGAAGATCTAGCTAGGATAACTGATGAAGGTGGTTACACTGAACAACAGATTTTCAATAGAGATGAAACAGCCTGTTAGTGCAAAAGGCTGCCGTCTAGGACTTTGATAGCTAGAGAGAGGTCAATACCTGGCTTCAAAACTTCAAAGGATAGGCTGGCCCTTTTGTTAGGGGCTAATGCAGCTGGTGACTTGAAGTTGAAGGCAGTGCTCATTTACCATTCTGAAAATCCTAGGGCCCTTAAGAATTATGCTAAATCTATGCTACCTGTGTTATGTTAGGGGGACTGCAAAGCTTGGATGACAACACATCTGTTTACAGCATGGTTTACTGATTGTTTTAAGCTCACTATTGAGACCTGCTGCTTAGAAAAAAAGATTCAGTTGAAAATATTACTGCTCATTG
Source organism: Homo sapiens (assembly GCF_000001405.40). NCBI lineage: Eukaryota > Metazoa > Chordata > Mammalia > Primates > Hominidae > Homo > Homo sapiens. Next base: position 17,034,307 of record NC_000008.11, read on the forward strand.
ACAATGTACGTAGTCACCCAAGAGGTCTGATGGAGATTTACAAGGAGATCAGTGTTTTTATGTCTGCTAACACAGTATCCATTCTGCAGTCCATGGATCAAGGAGTAATTTTGACTTTCACATCTTATTATTTAAGAAACACATTTTGTAAGGCTATAGCTGCCATAGATAGTGATTCCTCTGATGGATCTGGGCAAAGTGAATTGAAAACTTTCTGGAAAGGATTTACCATTCTAGATGCCATTAAGAATATCTGTGATTCACTGGTAGAGGTAAAAGTATCAACATTAGTAGGAGTTTGGAAAAGTTAATTCCAACTTTCATGGATGACCTCAAGGGATTCAAGATTTCAGTGAAGGAAGTAGCTGCAGAGGTGGTGAAATAGCAAGAGAACTACAATTAGAAATGGAGCCTAAAGATATGACTGAATTGCTGCAATTTCATGATAAAACTTTAACAGACGAGGACTTGCCTCTATGAATGAGCAAAGAAAATGGTTTCTTGAGATGTAGTCTAATCCTGGTGAAGATGCTGTGAACATTGTTGAAATGACAACAAAGATTTGGAATATTCCATGAGCTTATTTGATAGAGCAGTGGCAAGGTGATATAGTTTGGCTCAGTGTCCCACCCAAGTCATACCTTGAAGTGTAATAACACACATATGTCATGAGAGGGACCCAGTGGGAGGTGATTGAATCATGGGGGCTGGTTTTTCCCACGCTGTCATCATGATAGTGAATAAGTCTCACAAGATCTGATGTTTTATAAAGGGGAGTACCCCTGCACATACTGTCTTTCCTGCCGCCATGTAAGAGGTGACTCTGCTCCTCTTTCACCTTTCGCCATGATTGTGAGGCCTTCCCAGCCTTGTGGAACTGTGAGTCAATTAAACATCTTTCCTTTATACATTACCCAGTCTTGGGTATGTTTTTATTAGCAGTGTGAGAACAGACTAACAGAGTAAATGGATACTGGTAGAGGGGGGTGCTGTTGTAAAGATAACCAAAAATGTGGAAGTGACTTTGGAACTGGGTAATAGGCAGAGGTTGGAACAGTTTGGAGGGCTTAGAAGAAAACACAAAAATATGGGAAAGTTTGGAACTTCCTACAGACTTGTTGAATGGCTTTGACCAAAATGCTGATAGTGATGTGGACAGTAAAGTCCAGGCTGAGTTGATCTCTAATGGAGACGAGGAACTTGTTGGGAACTGGAGCAAAGGTGACTCTTGGTATGTTTTAGCAAAGAGACTAGTGGCATGTTGTCCCTGCCCTAGAGATTTGTGGAATTTTGAACTTGAGAGAGATAATTTTGGCTATCTGTTGGAAGAAATCTTTAAGCAGCAAAGTGTTCAAGATGTGACTTGGGTGATGTTAAAGGCATTCAGTTTTATGTATTCACAAAGATATGGTTTGGAATTGGAAGTTATGTTTAAAAGGGGAGCAGAGCATAAAAGTTCAGAAAGTTTGCAACCTGATGATGTGATAGAAAAGAAAACCCCATTTTCTCAGGAGAAATTCAAGCCAGCTGCAGAAATTTGCAAAAGTAAGGAGCCAAATGTTAGTCACCAAGACAGTGGGAAGAATGTCTCTAGGCAAGGTCAAAGGTCTTCACAGCAGCCCCACCCACCACAGACCTGGAAGCCTAGGAGGAAAAAATGGTTTTATGGGCCGGGACTAGTACCTTTGTGTCCGGAATTGATGGGTTCTTGGTCTCACTGACTTCAAGAATGAAGCCGCGGACCCTCGCGGTGAGTGTTACAGCTCTTAAGGTGGCACGTCTGGAGTCTGTCCCTTCTGATGTTCAGATGTGTTCGGAGTTTCTTCCTTCTGGTGGGTTCGTGGTCTCGCTGGCTCAAGAGTGAAGCTGCAGACCTTTGCGGTGAGTGTTACAGCTCTTAGGGTAGCGTGTCTGGAGTTGTTCATTCCTGCCGGTGGGCTCGTGGTCTTGCTGGGCTCAGGAGTGAAGCTGCAGATCTTCGCTGTGAGTGTTACAGCTCATAAAAGCAGCGTGGACCCAAAGAGTGAGCAGTAGCAAGATTTATTGCAAAGAGCGAAAGAACAAAGCTTCCACAGTGTGGAAGGGGACCCGAGCGGGTTGCCAATGCTGGCTCGGGCAGCCTGCTTTTATTCTCTTATCTGGCCCCATCCACATCCTGCTGATTGGTAGAGCCGAGTGGCCTGTTTTGTCAGGGTGCTGATTGGTGCGTTTACAATCCCTGAGCTAGATACAAAGGTTCTCCACATCCCCATCAGATTAGTTAGATACAGAGTTTCGACACACAGGTTCTCCAAGGCCCCACCAGAGCAGCTAGATACAGATTGTCGATTGGTGCAGTCACAAACCTTGAGCTAGACACAGGGTGCTGATTGGTGTGTTTACAATCCCTGAGCTAGATATAAAGACTCTCCACGTCCCCACCAGACTCAGGAGCCCAGCTGGCCTCACCCAGTGGATCCCGCACCAGGGCTGCAGGTGGAGCTACCTGCCAGTCCCGCGCCGTGCGCTCGCACTCCTCAGCCCTTGGGTGGTCGATGGCACTGGGCACCGTGGCGCAGGGGGTGGTGCTCGTTGGGGAGGCTTGGGCCGCACAGGAGCCCACGGAGTGGGTGGGAGGCTCAGGCATGGCGGGCTGCAGGTCCCGAGTCCTGCCCCGCGGGAAGGCAGCTAAGGCTCGGCGAGAAATCGAGCGCAGCGCCCGTGGGCTGGCACTGCTGGGGGACCCAGTACACCTTCCGCAGCCACTGGCCCGGGTGCTAAGTCCCTCACTGCCCGGGGCCAGCAGGGCTGGCCGGCTGCTCCGACTGCGGGGCCTGCCAAGCCCACGCCCACCTGGAACTCCAGCTGGCCCACAAGCGCCACACGCAGCCCCAGTTCCTGCTCGCGCCTCTCCCTCCATACCTCCCTGCAAGCTGAGGGAATGGGCTCCAGCCTTGGCCAGCCCAGAAAGGGGCTCCCACAGTGCAGCGGCGGGCCGAAGAGCTCCTCAAGTGCTGCCAAAGTGGGAGCCCAGGCAGAGGAGGTGCCGAGAGCGAGCGAGGACTGTGAAGACTGCCAGCACGCTGTCACCTCTCACCTTGCTGCTTTGTACATTCTTGAGACTTGGTACCCTGTGTCCCAGCCATGGCCAAAATGGGCCAATGTAGAGCTCAGGCCATTGCTTCAGAAGGTGCAAGCCCTAAGCCTTGGAGGTTTCCATGTGGTGTATGGAAACGCCTGGATGTCCAGGTAGAAGTCTGCTGCAAGGACAGAGCCCTCATGGAGAACCTCTGCTAGGGCAGTGCAGAAGGGATATGTGGGGTCAGAGCCCACACACAGAGTTCCCACTGGGCACTGCCTAGTGGAACTGTGACAAGAGGGCCACCATCCTCCAGACCCCAGAATGGTAAATCCACCAATAGCTTGCACCATGCACCTGGAAAAGCCACAGACACTCAACATCAGCCCATGAAAGCAGCCGGGAGTGGGGCTGTACCCTGCAAAGCCACAGGGGAAGAACTGCCCAAGGCCGTGGGAGCCTACCTCTTGGATCAGTGTGACCTGGATGTGAGACATGGAGTCAAAGGAGATCATTTTGGAGCTTTAAGATTTGCCTGTCCTGTTGGATTTTGGACTGGCATGGGACTGTAGCCCCTTTGTTTTGTACAGTTTCTCCCATTTGGAATGGGTGTGTTTACCCAATGTCTCTACCCCCTTTGTATCTAGGAAGTAAGTAACTTGCTTTTGATTTTATAGGCTCATAGGCAGAAAGGACTTGCCTTGTCTCAGATTAGATTTTGGACTGTGGACTTTTGACTTAATACTGAAATGAGTTAAGACTTTGGGGGACTGTTGGAAGGCACGATCAATTTTGTAATGTGATTTGGGAGGGCCCAGAGGTGGAATAATATGGTTTGGCTGTGTGTCCCACCCACATCTTGCCTTGAATTGTAATAATCCCCACGTGTCATGGGAGGGACCCGGTGGGAGATAATTGAATCGTGGGGGTGGGTTTTTCCCATGCTGTTGTCATGATGTTGAATAAGTCTCACAAGATCTGATGGTTTTATAAAGGAGAGTTCCTCTGCACATGCTCTCTTGACTGCTGCCATGTTAAGACATGACTTTGCTCCTCATTTGCCTTCTGACATGACTGTGAGACCTCCCCAGCCTTGTGCAACTGTTAGTCAATTAAACCACTTTCCTTTATAAATTACCCAGTCTCGGGTATGTATTTATTAGCAGCATGAGAACAGACTAATACACAAGGTTTGAGAGGATGGACTCCAGTTTTGGAGAAGTTCTACTGTGAGTAAAATGCTATCAAACAGCATCACCTGCTACAGAGAAATTTTTTTTTCACAAAAGGAAGAGTCCGTCGATGTGGCAGACTTCATTGTTGACTTATTTGTAATCCCAGTACTTTGGGAGGCCAAGGCAGGCAGATCATGAGGTCAGGAGATTGATACCATCCTGGCTAACACGGTGAAACCCCGTCTCTACTGAAAGTACAAAAAATTAGCCAGGCGTGGTGGCAGTCGCCTGTAGTCCCAGCTGCTCGGGAGGCTGAGGCAGGAGAATGGCTTGAACCTGGGAGGTGGAGCTTGCAGTGAGCTGAGATTGTGCCACTGCACTCCAGCCTGGGCGACAGAGCGAGACTCTGTCTCAAAAAAAAAAAAAAATAAATAAATAATAAATAAATAAAAATAAGAAATTGACACAGCCACCTCAAATTTCAGCAACCACCACTCTGATCAGTTAGTAGCCATCAACATCAAGGCAAGACCCTTCAGCATCAAAAAATTTTGATTTGCTGAAGGCTCAGATGATCATTAGCACTTTTTTAGCAATAAAGTATTTTTAAATTAAGTTATGTACTGTTGTAGACATAATGCTGTTGCACACTTAATAGGCTAATTGTAGCATAAACATAACTTTTATATGCACTGGGAAACCAGAATATTTATGTGGCTCGCTTTATTGCAATATTTGTTTTATTGTGGTGGTGTGGAACTGAACCTTCAGTGTATCCGAAGTATGCCTGTAAATGGAGAAAAGTCCCAGTTTTTTATAGTGAGGGAAGTTACATAGACATGAAATTGAAGATAAGCTAATTCTATGTGGAATAGCATTGTTGTATGAGAAGCTAAATAGCTGATCCCCTCTCTTAGTTTCTTCAAGTGCACGAGAGTCTGGATGCCTTATAATGGCCTGACCATCTAATAGAGTCACATACAATGATTTGAGTAGAGATTACTTTTCAGTTTTAGTAAATATTTGGGTTTAATGTGACTTCTTAATTGATTCTCACATATAATGCTATATATAGGATTATACATACATAATTTGGGGCTGGACTATTTTATAAGTGCTAAGTAATATGTAGCTGTCCTCTTACAGATTGAATATGTAATTTATCTCTAGTAATTTTTGAGAAATGAATGCTATTTTCTACCCAAAGATTAAAGGAAACATTTGGGATCATTAAACAATGATATTAACCCTATAAAATAATTTTATATATTTATGGCTCAGTGTAATATTTTGATATGTGTATATATTGTTGAGTGATTAAATCAAGCTCATGAAGGTATCCATCATCTTGCATTCTTTTTTTTTTTTTTTTTTTTTTTTTTTTTGAGATGGAGTTTCGCTCTTGTTGCCCAGGCTGAAGTAGAATGGCACGATCTCAGCTCACTGCAACCTCCACCTCCCATGTTCAAGTGATTCTCTTGCCTTAGCCTCCTGAGTAGCTGGGATTACAAGCATGCGCCAGCACGCCTGGCTAATTTTTGTATTTTTAGTAGAGACGGGGTTTCTCCATGTTGGTCAGGCTGGTCTCGAACTCCCGATCTCAGGTGATCCGCCCACCTCGGCCTCCCGAAGTGTTGGGATTATAGGCATGAGCCACTGTGCCTGGCCCCATTATCATATTTTTAACCTTAAATTTTTAAAGCTTCTTTGAGGAAGATTTATTCATTACCCACGCTATAACATACAAGTCTTGTATCTCAAAAGATTTTAATAAATCCTTATTTAATGACCAAATTAATTAAAAATCCAGAAATAAATTACAATTTTTCTAATTATTATAGTTCTTCCAAAATCTTGCTTATACAGAATCATTTCATTCATGCAAATTTACATTGGACTTTATGGAGATCAGAAGATCACATAAACACCCTAACAGAAGGGGAAAATAATAGATGTCTGTTACCTTGTATTACCTGTAAGCATTAATGATTGGATACTGAGTCGTAGTAGCTTTAGCAGTAATGGTGAATTTAGTAACTTACAGTTTCATGAAATAGCAAATGCAGAGATTATATATTTTTATTTTCTCCCCCATAAACATATGAAAAAAAATTCATTTTCTTTAGAGGCATCCTTAGACTTCAGTATTAGTGGCTGGTCAAATGCTTTAATGTTTTTCTTATTTTTATATAGTGGCACATGTAAAATTATATATGGTAGTCCCACTGTATCTGCTGGTTAACTTTCCATGATTTCAGTTACCAGTGACCAACCTCTGTCTGAAAATAATAAATGGAAAATTCTAGGGTTTTAGGGGTCAGGAAAATGGAAGAATCAAGGGTGTTATTCAAGTGTTTTGTCTTGGGCAATTGGGTGGATTTGCTGCAATTCACTGAGACTAGGCCTTCAGGAGAAAAAACAGGTTGGGAATAATGGGCATGGATGATGAATCTGTAACTTGTACAATAGATCAAGGTGTCTTTTGGACAGCTGAAGGTAAATTTCCATTTGGATGCATAAGTCAGAAGCTCAGGAGAGAAATCCTTACTATAGAAATAGATTTGGGAATCATCACGTATTAAAAATCATAAGAATGGATGACATTGTTCAGAATATGTAGAATGAGAAGAGAAAAGCATCTAAGGAGAGAACTCTGGTGAGCATCCATTACTTAAAGGACCGGCAGAGAAAAGAAAGTCTGCAAAAGCTGAAAAGTTGGGTCAAGACAGGTTAAAAAAAAAAAAAAGTCAGGGGGCCATGGAAGTCAAAAAAAGGTAATACTATATTTTCGGAAAGGAAGCAGTCAGTTATACTGAAAGCTATCCAAGGAGGTCAACTGAGATAGAAATACAAAGTGTGCATTGGATTTAGCAACAAGGAAGTCATGGGTGATTTTGTGAAGACATTGGAGGTGATAATCAGATTACAGTTGGATAAGCTGAGTAAATGTGAAGAAAAGGTAAAGTGGACTAAGTGAGGTAAGTGTTGACAGCCATATCAAGAATTTGTCTCTGAAGAAGAGAGAGGATAGTAGCCTGAGGGACATGGAATTGATTTTTTTTTTTTAAGATGGAAGACCCTCGATCGTGTTTAAATGCTGATGGAAAAAAGAAGATTAAATTTAAAGGAAAGAGAATAATTGATGTGATAAGGACCCAGGTGGGAGTAGGAGATAAAAATTAAAGCCCAAGGAAAGAGTTTAATCTTAGATAATAGGAGGGATGCTGTTTCCATTATGACAGGAGGATGGAATGCAAGGACACTATATGTATGCTTAGTGGCAAGTAGTTGAAGGTGTTCTTCTTGCCTGATGGCTTCTATATTCTCTGTGAAATAAGAGGTGATGTCATCTTCTCGGAGCAAGATACAGAAATATGCGGAGTAACTATGATAGAGGTTTGGGGGAAAGTGGAGGATTGACCTAGCCACTGTAAAAAACTAGAAAACCATGAAATCTTTACATTTGTTCATGTTTTGTAATTGCAAGGCTCAATATGAGCTTTTTAACAATGAAAGTAATTTTTAACTTGCTCATGAAATGCAGTTTTTTCATGGTCACAACTTTTACTATTCTAATTTATAAGTTGTTGATGTTATCTCTTTTTTGATTTGTATAAACCTTAGTAATCTGATCTAATTAGTACTTTTTTTACCCATGATGCAATATTTAACTTACACAGCAAATGCACCAAACTTATAATACAATGCAGATTTTGTTATTTTTGTTTAAACTTGATAGACAAGTTTTAACTGGATAATATTAGATCTCACTGCTCTCCTGTAATTGTGCCAAACGCTGAGAATGTAACTTCATTTTATGTAAACACTCCTGTGATAAAGAAAAAATGTGTTTAAAAAATCAAGCAAGCTCGATTTATGGCATTGTCTATCTAGCATTAAAGAAAATGCCTAGTCATTTGTGTATTAAACAGGATTTTCTAGATTTATTATTTTCTTCCCTTTCCTCTTTAAGTAAGTCCTTACCCCTTTATTCTCTGATGTATTGATATATTATGTAAGCTAAGTAAAATATGGAACTTCAGTGCTGAATTGTTTTATTGGTTACCATAGTAGTGCTACCATAGCATAGTAGTGTTTTTGCTCATTAAAGAGTTATTTTTCTAAATTAGAAAAGTAGAATCTATGTTTTCTGCTTTTTTTCCTATTTTCTAATTAATTGTCTTCTAACCCTTCTAAAACTCCATTTCTAGAATTTAGAGTACAGGAAGTGTATACAAAAGAATTTCGAAACAATCCTTTTTTCCTGTCTGATAAGGATGATATCTATCCAGTTGACACTGTAAGTATTGACTAGGTGAGATATTTGCATTGTCCCTTTTCCTCAAAGGGTTATAATAGATGGTTTAAACTGCTTGTAGCAATTCAAAGTGATTTTTTTTTTTTTTTTTTTTTTTTTTGAGACGGAGTCTCACTCTTTCGCCCAAGCTGGACTGCAGTGGCGCTATCCCGGCTCACTGCAAGCTCCGCCTCTTGGGTTCATGCCATTCTCCTGCCTCAGCCTCCCGAGTAGCTGGGACTACAGGCGCCCACCACCACGCCCGGCTAATTTTTTGTATTTTTAGTAGAGACGGGGTTTCACCGTGTTAGCCAGGATGGTCTCGATCTCCTGACCTCGTGATCCGCCCGCCTCGGCCTCCCAAATGGCTGGGATTACAGGCGTGAGCCACCGCGCCCGGCCTCAAAGTGATTTTTTTAACTGGTTTCACATCAGATCAGAAAGGTCCTTATAATTTAGGCACAGTTTAAGCTAGCTCCAACCTATTAAAGTTAGTTATTTTAAAATAATATCATCTAAACCTCTTCCAACTGCTTTAAAATTATTCTTACTAATCTGACAATAAGAGGTTACTTGTAATTGTCCATATACATACATTGTCCCCAGGATATTGAGAAAGGTTTTGAGATATTACTATCATCAAGCTTAAAAATATAGTCATAAGGACAGTGATAGGCAGGTTTTGGACTAGGGCTTGTGGTGAATGGAGATCAGTGTGACTTAAACATTACTTCCTTTCTGGACTCAATCTTTGCTGTCACATGACCTCCTCCAGACTGCTTTCTATCCAAATAAATGGGTCACATTAGGATTTTATGTTCTTATAGTAAAGAATACACTTAGTAACCTTTTGGTCCAGTACTGTGAAGATGTGCTATCAAATATGTCTGTCTGATTCTCTCTGTCTGCCTGCTTTGTTGATGAACATAAAAGTCAAGTAAGAGTTTTGATTCAAGTCTTTTATAATATGAACTTAACAAATCAAAGTCAAGACGTCCTATTTGGAGAGAAAGGTAAAATATATCCTTCATACTTTGATTCAATATTGTAAATTTTGTGAGTTATAAGTACAAATATTGGGTTCTAATGTGTATTAAATAGTGAACTATGAAAAATATCCCACATATATGTCACCAAATAATTAAAATCCTGAAGTTATTCTGAATTATAGCAGTCGTTTATAAATATTCTAAAACCTTAGGCAAGAATGCATACTTAAGGTTCTTGCCTTTTGCTAGCAAATGATAGGAGAGCAACAATTTGTGTCTTTGTTCCTATACCCACACCTTTCACATAGCAGAATTTGGAACATGGTTAAAGCCGTAGATTGGGTTGAACATTGATGTTCAGTAGAGTGGTCAAAATGGGAAGGATATGAACCTGAAAGTTCATTATCTGAATGTCAGATATATAAGAGCAGAAGTTACCCAGGTAGTAGGAGGCTGTTGTTTGGTTCCAGGCTAATACAGAAGTCATAAAAACATGTCTCATATATTTTGGTGATAGGTTTTACTCAGGAAGCAGTCTGTTAGGATCTACAGAGAAAGTAGCATTCTTAGATGGTACTGTGTAATTCTAGTATCTTCTTCAGCAGTGTTTTCTTAATTGTAGGAGAGCAGAGTAGCTCCCTAGGAATTAAAAATTTTTTTTTTGGAAAAACAAAGCACTGAAGACAGAGGGATCAGAGGAATGTAACCTAGAAAAATTGGTGAAAACATTGTGGTATATTGATTGACTGATTCACAGTACTACATCCTAGTCCAAAAGCAATGTGGATCTTCATGTAGTTGTTTAGCTTGTGCTTGGGAAAATATAGATCTTCCTCCTTTTCCCTTTCCACATGTCCTCACTTTACAGTGACCTCCTTGCCTGTTTCTCCTTACAGTTGGCCTCTACAGCAGCTTCAGGCTCAGAGATTATAGTGATTAAGGAAATAACATAGGCTGAAATAAGTGAAAGCAGGTGTAATAAGGAGCAGTTGGCTTGGGGTGGGTCAGGAGACCTGAATGAAAATCATGATGCTGCCATTCCTTACCTATGCTCCTGGAGCTAAGGGAACACGTTTTAATTGGCCTTCCAGAAATTCTCAAAAAACAATTTTATCTGTACTTCACTGGCCAAAACTTGGTCAAGTGGCCCTGTCTAACTGCAACAAAGCCTGAAAAAGGTAACCTTTATTTCATATGTCTGGCTAAAAACCAGGGCTCTTTTTTTTTTTTAAAGGAAAATTGGAGAATGAATAATCGGAGGTATCTGCTAGTCTTTGTTAGATGAAGCCTATAGTGTTGAGAAAGAGGCTTTTAAACGAAAATGCTCAAAAATAAATTATGGAATACTTTGATGTTATGAGGTAGATAGATAACATATGTTTTTGTCCACAGTTCCTGGCTCGTAACTACCATAGTCCTTGATAAACAGACTCTCTCTCTCTTTCTCCTGCCTGCCTTTCACCTGCCCACAGCAGGACTCTAATCTGATTGAAGATCATAAGACTTTCATTCCAGGGAGCATCCTGCCCCATACCCTGGAGGAAGGAATGCTGCACAGAGAGGTCAAGAAGAATCTGAACAGACAGGCCTGCTGGGTTTAGATCATATCTTTTTTATCCAGTCACATTTCAACATGGTTTTCCATGTTTTAGTCATGCTTATGAAGTCCCCATAAAAAGGCCTCATAAAAAGTCCCCAATGAAGTCCCGATAAAAAGACCCAAGAGGGCAGAGTTTGGGAGTTTCCAGATAGCTGAACATGTTGAGGTTCCTGGAGGGTGGCATACCCGGGCTGGCAGGGAAGCTGCATGCCCCTTTCCCCATACTCTATCCTACACATCTATATTAGTCTGTTCTCATGCTGCTAATGAAGACATACCTGAGATTGGGTAATTTATAAAGGAAAGAGGTTTGATGGACTCACACTTCCACAATCATGGCAGAAGGCAAAGGAGAAGCAAAGTCACATCTTACATGGAGGCAGACAAGAGGGCATGTACAGGGGAACTCCCCTTTATAAAACTGTCAGATCTCATGAGACTTAGTCACTGTCATGAGAACAGCATGGGAAAGACCCGCCCCCATGATTCAGTTACCTCCCATTGGGTCCCTCCCGTGACATGTGGGAATTATGGTAGCTACAATTCAAGATGAGATTTGGGTGGGGACACAGCCAACCCATAGCATCTCTTCATCTGTATGCTTTGCAGTGTCCTTTATAATAAGCCGATAAATGTAAGTAAGTGTTTCCCTGAGTTCTATGAGCTGCTGTAGCAAATTATTTGAATCCAAAGAGGGATCATGTGAACCCCAGCTTGAAGCTAGTCAGTCAGAAGTTCTGGAGGCCTGGACTTGTAAATTTCACTGAAGAGGGCAGTCTTGGGAACTGAGCCCTTAACCTGTGGGATCTAGCACTATCTCCAGGTACACAGTGTCAGAATTGATTGGAGGACACCCAGTTGGTGGCTGCTGCAGAACTGATTGATTGCTTGATGATGGGGAGAACCTCCTCATACCTCACATTTGGTCACAGAAGTCTTCTGTGATGATTGTTGTGTTGGTCTGAGAGCAGAGGAAAAACATGGTTTAAGCGTTTACAAACAAATACCTCCTTGATAAAGTTTTATCATTTTGGTTTTGGTAATATAGAATCAGTCATAAAAATCTTTTAAATGTAACTAAATACCACACTGTACTTATAAGAAATTGAGAGAAATTGCCAGGGACAGAAATAAAGAAGAAACTAATAACTGCAATGGTGTGTGAACTGTGAGTTACTTGGGGGAGGAGAGGTGTCATGATTCATGGAATTCTAGGCACTTGGACTTTAGTGCTCATGTGGGGACAGAAAACTAGACCTTGGGAAGCTGGAAGTGAGATGCCACCTACCTAACGCCAGAATTCTCGTCAAAAGGATGGACAAGGAAAAAAATCTTATGTCTGGTATAAGCTGATGACATGAAACCTGCAAATTTCCTCCTGGGCTCAGAGTAGAAAAGAAGACTCTTCTGAGAATGTATACACATGGCTCCATACCACCTCATGTGGGCTCAGGGTTAGAAGTTACATTACCCAAGCAGAGAAGGAGCAGACATAGCTGGCAGAAAGAAAAGCAAAACTTCTTTGGAAGGAAAAGCCCTTAACACTGGCCATATGTGATTCCTATGGATAAAATCTAGATGAGAATGAGCTCGTAATCCAAAGCACAAAATATATGAAGTTCTGTGATCAAGAGTCAGTAAACTGAATGATTGGATTCCTAACAGCTGGATAATAGGATAATTTGGTTGAGTCTGTTACTTAAGTATATTCAAAATCATTGAAGATACAATGAAAAATTAGCATGAAAAAGCAGATCACTATAAAGAATCAAATAGAATTTCTAGAAATGTAAATATAGCCATTGGAGGCCAGGTTGGCTAGACAGCATATAAGAACTGTAGCAGCAGTTAATAATCTGAAAGATAATTTTGAAGAAACTGCACAGAATGTAACACAGAAATGAAGATATGTCAAATATTATGAAATATTTTTAACATGTGGAAAATAGACTGAGACAGTCCAAAATTCATCTATTAGGGGTTACAGATGAGGAGGAGAGAGAATGAGAAAGGCAGTATCCCAAGAGATAATGGTTGAAAAGTTCCCAGGAAGGAACAAAGACATTAATCTTCAGATTCATATGTCCTGAGCAAGATCAATAAAAATATTTAGTCACATTGAAGTGAAACTGTAAAATCAAAGATAAAGAGAGACAGGACAGACTTCCTACAAAGGGACTGCAGTTGACCTGATTATAGACGAATCCATCGCAACAGACAGAAGCCAGAGGACAGTGGGCTATATCTTCAAAAGTGAGAGAAAATAACTGCCACTTAGATTTCTATACCTCGGTAAGTTATTTAGGAATGAGAACAAAATAAATTTATTTTCATAAGAGACTGAGAGTTTACCAGTATCAGATCATCATTGAAAGAACCACTGAAGAGTGCATATCAGGAAGAAATGAAATGAATTAACATAAAAAGGGGTGAAATTCAAGAAGCAATGGAGAACAAAGAAATTAGTAAAAATGAGAGCAGTTCTTAACCATTGATTGTATACAACAACAATTATTATTATTTTAAAAGAAGTTACAATGAAGTGGATTTCAAATAGTGAACAACTGATACGCAAGATAGTGGGCCATGACGAGTTAAAGTGTTTCATGGGGGAAACCAAGATCCCTTCTTCATGTCATAATTATCCAGGTGGATTAGAATCCTACATGTGATAAGTAAAACTTTGAGATATTTAGAGGAATATATATGTTTCGATGTTCGAAACAAGATAAAAAGCAAAACCTAGAATGGAAAATATTACTACATTTCACTTCATTTAAAATATTTAATAAAATAAAAAGAAGTCCTGGAATGGAAAAAGATATTTATAGTACATAGCCCTCACAAGGACTACATATCCTAAATGTGTAGATCTACAAATTAATAAGAAAAAGAAAACACGATAGAAAAATGAAATAGAAATTCACTGGCCTTAAAGAAGGCAAAGGAGTAGCAAAATCACATCTTACATGGAGGCAGGAAAGAGAGCATGTGCGGGGGAACGCCCCTTTATATAAAACCATCAGATCTGGTGTGACTTATTCACTATCACAAGAACAGTGTGGGAAAGACCCACCCCCATGATTCAGTTACCTCCCCTTGGGTCCCTCTCATGACACATGGGAATTATGGGAGCTACAATTCAAGATGAGATTTTGAATTGAATCTTCTTCACAACTACCACTTCTTTATTTCATTTTATTTTATTGAGACAGGGATTCACTCTGTCACCCAGGCTGGAGTATGGTGGTGTGATCACCCCTCACTGCAGCCCCAACCTCCTGGGCTCAAGATATCCTCTTGCCTCCGCTTCCTGAGTAGTTGGGACTACCTCATACATCACCACACCCAGCTGATACATTTTTAAAAAAATTGTAGAGACAGGTTGCCACTGTGTTGCCCAGGCTGGTCTCAAACTGCTGGGCTCAAGTGGTCCTCCCACCCCAGCCTCCCAGAGTGCTGAGATTTTCGACGTGAGCAAGGCACCCAACCTGTCTTTGAACCTGGCCTGGGTGCATATACTCTGTAATATGCTGGGAATTTATGAGCTTATTATGGATCCATGCAAATAAACAGTACACAGTTCTGTATTTCGGGGATGGATAACTTACTCCATTTCTTTGAACGTCAGCCGTTTTCTCTTCTTTCATAAGTAACTGAATATTTCAGACTGGGAACATTTCAGACTTTTCTCTTCGATGATGAGACTAAATTTCTAAACAATACTCTTCAAGTAAAAATTTTAACCCATTTATGCCTAGTGTTCCATTGTATCCTGGGACACTGAGCCAGGAAGACCGAGGGAAGGGTGGTAGAGCATGAGGCAGTGAAACCCACAAGAAAAAGCCAGACAGTAGGAATAGTTTTATCTCCTTGGACATATTTGGAGAATATCTAACTTATAGTGCCACAGAGGTTCTAGATATTTATAAACTTTGTGCCTGGAGTTGAGTAGCCAAACACTATTTCTGGACCTAGCTAGTTAATAGTACATCAAGAGGTAGAGTCTCTTGATTCTGTGGGCCAAGGGAAAAGGCAGTATTTGCATGTAGTTTTCATTTAATCTTTACAGTTTGTGGGCTTAGTATTTATTTGTCCATTTTATAGTTGAAAATGCTAAAGTTTGCAGAAAGTTAAGTTATTTTTCCCAAGGTAACCTAACTAGGAAGGGATGAAGCTGGCATTTGAACGTAGGCCGGAAGGATTGCAAAACCCATATACTTTCATTCCAATATAACAAGTTGTGTAATGTGAAAAAACACTGGGTTGTGTGTTGTAATACTGAAGTTCTGGTCCCAGACCCATTTGCTGCCTGTGTGACCCTGTTGAAGGCCCCTATAGATTAAGTTAACTCTTTTGTACAGTTGCACTAATAATATATGTCTGCTTGCCTTTTAAAAAATAATACTCCATTCCAAAATTTATCTACATCTTTACATACATATATTCCTATAAGACATGAACTTTTGTTTTTTTACTCATTTTTCTACAACCTGTTTTTTTCACCCTAGTGTGTATCTTGTGACTGTTTCTATGGTAGCACCTCTAGATCTACCATACCCCTTTCCATAGTCACAAACTATTCCATGGGTGTGCCATAATTTATTTAACCATTGTCCTGCTGCTGGAAATTTTGATTGTTTCTATTTTTTCACTATTGGAAACATGCTGCAGTGACTATCCAGGGATCTTAAGTACATGCAAATATTGAATTGTCGGATCTATAGCTATTAAATTTTAATAGAAACTTAAAATTATCTTTCAGAATGGTACGCTAAGATTTACTTCTACATGTAGTAAGTAATGAGCAGTTTTCTTACAAGTGCTGTATCCCTGAACAATATACATATATTTTTGTGAATTTTAAAAATAATATGTCCTTCTATAATGTATATATTTTATTTAATATTATATTTAGGAAATTTATACATATTGACACATGTACTTCTAGTTAATTTACTTTCACTACTGTAAAATATACCACTTTATTAATATTTCATTAAACTGATATAATTTCCATTTTTATTGATATTTTTGTGAAGATTGATAAATGGTCAGTTTATATAGTCCCTGTTTATTAAAAGCAAAATTAACAAGCACCTTATTCTGTTACTCAGATCCTTTTTCTTATTTGGCTTCTCTATTTGATCTGTCCATTTCTAGTTGAGATCTATTCAAGTCTCAGCCATGATTGTGAACTGATAAATTTTCATTGCTATTCTCTAACAGTTTTTCCATTATGTAATTTTAAGCTGTTTAGTTCATGTGTGTAATATCTTTTTGGTGAGTTTTTCTTTGTCCCATTTAATGCTTTTGACTCTTAATTCCATGTATTTTTTAACATTCTGGGTAATGTTTAACAGTGACTCTTGTAGGGGACATTTTTATGGCTTTTTAAAAAACGCAGTATAAGAGTTGCTCTTTTTCAATGGGGGGGTTTAAACCTATCCTATTTATTGTGATTGAGAACATGTTTGCATTTATTTTTGCTGTGTTATTATGAGCATGTGTTACCACTTTATCACCTGGCATTAGATTGGTCCAGTTTCTTATTATTTCTCTCCCTCGAGTAGTTTGAAAGTCATGCATCCTGTTTCTGGTCTTCAATTGGTTACACATAACATTTAAATGGTTTTTTATATACATCTGAAACTTGAGGAAAAATCAGTATCAGAAAATTTTTTATTCCAAAAAAGTTCATTGAACATGTTTTATTACATGGCCCTCCCCACCTTATATTTTTCTGAAGTCAGCTACAGTATTAGTACCACATAGGTATTGGTTTTTTAATATTATGTTTTAATTTTTTTATATTTTAATTTTTAAAGCAATCACCATTTAACAATTATAGTAAGCTTTACACCCACATTCACTTATTCATTTATTCAGCAAATAGTTGAGAGCCTGCTAGAAGCCAAAAACTCTTCTAGGCACTGGGGAAACTAAAGTGTACCAAGTAAACAATTCCTGCGTTCATGGAATTTATATTGTGGAATGCAGGAGACAAATTTTGTATTTCTCAGCATATTTATAATATTTGAAGGCTAGATGAGATCATCAAGTGGGTAATTGTAGATTTAAAAGAGGAAAGGAGGTCCAAGGATTGGCCCTAGGGCAGTGTAGTTGGGAAGTACCAGCAAAAATACCAAACAGGAATACCCAGAGGGATAGGAGGAAAAGCAAGACAGTGAAATCTTACAAACAGAAAATAAATGATTTCAAGGGGAAATGAGCCACCAACTGTGTCAAATGCTATAAGAGGAAAACTGAGAAGTGACCTTTGGATTTAGCAACAAGGAGGTCATTGATGACCTTGACAAGCAGTTTTGGTGGCATGGTAGAGAAGAGAGCCTTGCTGGAGTAAGATCAAAAGAGAATGAGAGGAAATGTAAACAACACTCTCCAGTAGCCTTGCTGTAAAGGGAAGGAGAAAAATGGCAGGGAGGAGAGCAAAGGTAGCTAAATAGAGAGGAGGGACAGGGCACTTTCTAAGGTGGGAGGAATAGCACCGTGCGTTATGCTGAAGGAGAAGTATACAGTGGAAGAGGAAAAAATAGGTTGGCAGGGCCAGGGCAGTATTGCTGAACCAAAGTCTGAATAGGCAGGAAAAGAGGAGGTCTACATGCTGAACCACTATGCTATACTGCCTCTAGAGAAAAAGACTTTCATTTATGTCATCTTTCAATCAAATAATGAGATGATGTATGTGAAAGTACTTTATAAACTTGTAAAGAACCCTATAATGTAAGCTACTATAATAATACAAGTAGAGACTTAAATTTTTTTTTGTTTTTTATCATGATACATAATATTTGTATGTATTTATGGGGTGTGTATGATATTTTGATACATGCATACAGTATGTAATGATCAAATCAAGGTATTTAGGTTATCCATCCCCTTGAACATTTATCATTTCTTTGTGTCAAGAACATTTCAAATCTTCTCTTCTAGCTATTTTGAAATATTTGAATTTTATTATTAATTACAGTCACCCTACTGTGCTATTGAACTCTAGAATTTAATTTCTTCTATCTTACTGTGTTTGTACTCATTAACCAATCTGTCTTCATTTCCCCAACCCCCACTCACCCTTCCCATAGTCTGGTAACTATCGTTGTACAATTAGAGGCCTTAAAAATTATAAATGGTCAGTTGCTTTATCTAGCAACTTTTAAAAACTTTGATCTCAGCCAGGGAAGTACTATTAGCTTGTCTTCAGCTGTGTGTATTTCCACACAGACGCATTTACTAAGCATCAAAACATTTCACTTAGAGTACTTGGGATTTTCCCACACTGGGAATTTGAGGTTTAACCTTTCGACCACCCAGCAAGCAAAGAAAATGCTACCTCTTTTATCTTCAAGATGCCTTTAAATAAGCCTGAAGCCATTTGGGAAAACCAAATGTAATACTTCCATGAACATCTTTTTTAGCTACTTGAATAGAATCCCATGCAAGTCCATAAGATTCTTGCCCAGATAATATAGTGTAGAAATATAAATTTGCAAGATTATTTTTTATGTTTTATAAAAATGTTGGTACAGTTGCCAACATAGGGTAAATCCTAATACCAGTGCTCAATTCCCTACATGAAATTAATACATTTTAAAATCACTCTTTAAAATTTTGAATAAAACAAATGTGTCTTAAAGAAACTAATAAGGATGAGTAATCTAAATAATATTGGTGAATACAAATGATTTTAATTCTTCTTTCATTGTTCATTCTCATTTCTCTGTTTCACGGTTGCTAAAAGGTAAGGTATTATGCAGAGTAAGGTATTATGCAGTTTAGATAATTGATATAATTGTTTTAAATTGCCTCTTTTAGGGTATTATCAGCTGGTAGGCGTAAGTTTCTCTAATTGTCAAGTAGTGAATCCTTTATCTGGCATTTAATCTTGCCTCCCTGGGAAAACTAGACCTTAACACAGAGTAAATTTTTGAATTGCTGACCTGAAGTAACGTGAGCCTGTGCCTTGGCAATGAACCTTTGTTTTCTGTTTTTATAGGAAGGATAATGATGTACTCTGTTGCCTGAAGGCCCTAGCCTCACTACCTTAACAAGTAACATCTAAGTAAGGTTGCAAAGGTCTGAGTTTGGAAATTCCAGAGAAGATAATTGTATTGACACAATATTTTTATTTTTCTGGGAAAGATGAGGTAATTTAAAAATGAAACTTTTGTCATTTTTTAAGCTTCTCATCTTAGTTCTGTCAACATGACTTAAAGCATCCACCAAGTTACCTAAAAAGAATTATTACTTAATTTTTATGAAGAAATCATGTATATTTTTATCATTTCAACGTAAATTCTCATAAATAGCTCACAATTTCTCAATAAAACAGAAGAAATAGAGCTTTCTAGAGGTAGAAAGAAGAAGATTCCCTAAACGTTTTTAGCAAATGTGAAAAGGGTGTCAGGCAATTCCCATAAAATAATTTCCTAGAAGGTGTAAGGTGTAATTTCCTAGAAGGAGTAACATGAAATGGCAAATTTCAGTTATCTTTTAGCTCTCGATTTCTGTGATTTCATGTTTCTACTGTGTGGCCTCACACTTATAAATAAGGTAAGTCATGTGCCAGATCTGTGATCTGTGCTTGGGCAGTTTTCTGCAGGAGCTTTGCAAGGTCTTTTTGATAGAAAAAAAATTCCGTTTCAGCAAAATTTGCCACATCTAAAAATACTGCAATGATACCTTACCTTGAACTTCACAATGTCTATATTTTCCTATTCGGTGAAAAATAGCACTATAAAAAGTTTCACATATCTAGTTAGAATATTCCCATATGAAGCCAAGAAATTGTAATATTATTACATTTACTAGGTAATATTTGACAAAATCATACATGCCATGATTTCATTATTTTGAAGTTTGATGATATTTTATTTTCAGAATGGATTTTACTATATGAATGAAAGAAATGAAGTTGTTAGGATTTAAAACTTAAGTTTATATACATATATGTATTTGCAGGGAGTTTTATATTTTGTTTCTGTTACTTAGATTTTAGATTTAGAATTTTTGGTTATTTTTGTTACATACTTTGAGTATAGCAATCTGCCACCAAGTTTAGGAATAATTCAGTTGCATAATTATAGAGCAAAATGTGAAGACCTGTAGGTAGTTCAGTCAGTTTTTGTAAACTAAACTGTAGGATACTAATAATACTTACTGTTCAGTCTCCCTTAGGTAATGTGGGTAGGTTTGTGGAGGCAGAGCAAAAACCATTTGTTTACCTTCAACATCTCTCAACATTCAAGGACTGAGGACCAGACCCAAATGTTTTCTTTTTCTTTTTCTTTCTTTCTTTTTTTTTTTTTTTTTTTGAGACAGAGTCTTGCTCTGTCGCCAGGCTGGAGTGCAGTGGCACGATGTCAGCTCACTGCAACCTCTGCCTCCCGGGTTCAAGCGATTCTCCTGCCTCAGCCTCCCAAGTAGCTGGGATTACAGGCGCCCGCCACCATGCCCGGCTAATTTTTGTATTTTTAGTAGAGATGGGGTTTCACTATGTTGGCCAGGATGGTCTCGATCTCCTGACCCCGTGATCCGCCTGCCTCAGCCTCCTAAAGTGCTGGGATTACAAGCATGAGCCACCGTGCCCAGCCCCAAACGTTTTCTTAATCTGTTGCAGTGTTTTGAGAAAAGGTCAGAGTTACGGAAGCATTTTGCCAAATTTGGAAAACAAGGCCAGGCAGAGTACAACTGCAAATAACACTAAATATCAAGCCCATGGCTATGTCTAAGAATTTGGAAAGAGATTACAGTCTGCAGGAGATGAAATGTATGGAACTGTCAACCTAAGTGAATCACAGCAGTTTAGTGTTTCCTGAAACAATGATGAAGGTGATTTAGAAGTGTTACCTCCCATGAGGCTTTTAATTTTACAAATGTGGTTTGTTTTGGAAGTGAGTCTCTCCATCTTTCTTAAACTTACTCTAATGTTTTTCTTTTTAGTCCTTAATATTCCATGAGTCCCTGATGTTGTCACCCAAAGTTGGTATGACAGAGAGACTGCAAACTGTTGAGCACAATTTCTTCTCCTTTTCCATAATAGTTAGGGTATAGATGTCCAGCTCTTCTTCATTTTCCATCCTTACTTGCACTTAAGTGTGGTTGTGTGACTTAAGTTCTCTTCAGTTGAAGGTGAGCAGAAGTGATTTGCACCACTTCTAGGCCTGGCCTATAAAAGCTTCTCACATGAACTTCTCCCATACTTTATTTCCCTCTCCCTTCGTTGATAATGACAGAGTCATCATCTGCCTGGGTCTCTGAATGACTATATAAAGCAGAGCTCCTTGATCCCACTCCCAGCCCCTGTCCTAGTACGTTCTCTTGGGGCTCTTATGTGAGAAAGAAAGACACACACTTGTGTTGTGTTGGAGCCATTACATTTGAGGAAGTTAGCCTACCCTGTCTAATACAGTAGAGAAGGGATTAATTGGTGAAGGTCTTGATCATTGAGAAGGGAGATGATCGTTTTTGGATAAAGGTGAATTAACTGTCAGCTAGACATGTCTCTTAAGTCCTCCCAGTATGAAAGTTCACCTAACTGCCTGCCTGTACGTTCAACCTCACCACACACACTAAGACCCACAGAATATAAGGAGCTTTAGATTAATAGCTAATTGGCTGCTTGACATTATTAATGTAACTGATTGATCCCTGTGATTTAGCCCCAGTCTTCTATCCGAATCCCCTGTTTCAGATTCCTATCTTAGAAGGTCACTTAAAGGATCCCAGTGACCTTATGTCAATTCCCCAGGGACTACATTTCTTCTTCCTGAATGGAGGCTCCTCTTATCTACTTACTCTTCTTTGAATAGTGGGCTTCAGTCAATTTGCCTGCTGCTTGAACCTCTTTGTAATCTCCTCTATTCCTGGCTGAGGTTCATAGTCTGGGTCTTGAAGTTGGTTAAGGATTGTGCCAAATGAATCATATGCTGCATCTCCCATACCTTTCCTGTCTGGCTTCTTGTTCCCTCCATTTGCTGCCTGCTCCTGCAGTCCTCCGTGTAGTGCTCTCCTGCAGTCTTACTCATTTGAACCTCTTCCAAGTGATATTTATGTTTTTCTTTTTCTTGCAAGAACTTATGGCTCAAGGAATTCATGATTGAATGGAAGAGACAAATACGTAAACAGATAATTGCAACCTGGTGTGACTGGAGGAAAGGAGTACAAGTGATGTAATAGGGATATATAAAGGAAATCACTAGGATTTATCCAGATACTGTGTTGGCTCACAGGGAAGCTGTGTGGTCAGAGTCTAAGGTATGCTATCACAAGGGATGTGATTAATTAGGAATCGATGTGGAGCAGTCAGTAGCTTATACAGTAGAGAGGGTGTGGCAGCAGAAGTTTTCTGGAAGGTGGCCTTCGTGAGAATCACATATTCCATTTGATATGGAACATCGTGGATTCATCTCCTTGGCAATAGCTGGAAAAGTATTGGAGTCATCGCCAGAGAAATTGCGAAGTTAAGCAGGGAACTGAAGTAGATCTAAAATATTCCCGGAGCTGGCCATGGCAGAGACCATTACGGTTTCCAGAGTTTATCCTAAGCTCAGATGGAAATTAGACTCATTCTTGTTTCTGTCAACAGGTTAAGCTAAGAGTTTGGTTAGTATTAGCTTAGTTGATTTTATGAAGTTCTGTCAGTAAATAACCATTGAATGTGTTGATAACTAGCAGAGCTTTAAACAGACAGAGTTTAGAAAGAAGCATTAAGGAGATCTGGTAAGTAGCAGCCTAACACCAAGCACTGGGGTGGGTAGGTAAGCATGCACTGCAGTTCCAGAGGGAACCTGTGGAGCAGGAGGAAGATGTCTCAGGCACAGGTTGACAGGAACCCAGGTACAGACATTGGGAAATCAGGGATGGGTTGGTTCTAAGGATAGGGAGCAAATCAGGAGCTCAGTTCTTGTTCCCAGAACATAACAGGCGACACCCTGATCTCTGGCCTGAGAGTATGTGGTTACCTCCAACCTGGAACAGGATTGGTTCCAAAACTTATATGAAAACAATAATTCAAGGTTCAAACAGTATTAATTATATTTAATCTCTAAGAATTTTTAATTAGAGCAAATTTTTAACATTGATAATAGCTATAATTTATAATTATTGTTACAATTAATATAAGTTATAATCTGTAGAAATTAAGAATTTTTCTTATATAATTGCTTTATTCTATAACTCCTCTCAGTCTCTTCCCTACCAATTTGCAAATGATCTCCTCCTACATTACCACTTTTGAAAGGCATATTTTAAAGTATGTAACACTGAATTGATGATAATGATTTTCAGTTTAGCAATTTATGGTTTCACACATGAATGAATATAATTCAGGTTTTCTTGGCTTTAAGGTTAGCTTTCCCTGTTGACCTTTTTTTCGTTTTTTGTTGTTGTTCTTGTTGTTGTTGTTGTTGTTGTTGTTGTTGAGACGGAGTTTCACTTTTGTTGCCCAGGCTGGAGTGCAATGGTGTGTTCTCAGATCACTGCAGCCTCTACGTCTCAGGTTCAAGTGATTCTCCTGCCTCAGCTCCCCAAGTAGCTGAGATTACAGGCACTCGCCACCACACCTGGCTAATTTTTCTGTATTTTTAGCAGAGATGGGGTTTCACCATGTTGGCCAGGCTGGTCTCGAACTCCTGACCGCAGGTGATCCACCCGCCTCGGCCTCCAAAAGTACCCTATTGACTTTTGACATATTACACTTAGCGACAAGTTTTTACTGCATTGGCAATTTGTGATGCCAAAAGTACCATTTACTGAAATAATACATAGTAATGAAAGATGTTTTGGTTGATTTTAGTAGGATTTTTAAATTGGAAATTAACCTTTAAAAGATATATTGGATCTAGGTAAGCAAAAAAGGTATTTAAAATGAAGTAGCTCAGCCAGTGAAACCTATTCCTAGTAATATAAGGATATACACCTAATCACAGAACCACAGATTCATTGTGCTCCAGTGAAATGGCCATATTTGTTTTTTAAAAGGTCCAGAACATGAACGTGATACAAGATCATTGTCATTTGTAAACAAGCAAGACTCACAAGAGGTTTAGTAAACTGGTTTAATGTCATGTTCCGCCTTTATTATTGATGTTTTTTTTTTCTTGAATGTTTATAATTGTGATGTTAAAACTTCAGAGACTTTGGGGTTTTTTTAAACTTTGGAAAGTTCAGAAGCAAAGCTCAATCTCTGAAAGGTCTGAGTTCCTTTTGACACTTTGATGGTCTGCTGGCCAGCTGCCGCCTCTTTCTCAGAGTTTCCAGTAGATCGAGTATACTCAGCAGAACTTCATGGACTGCTCCAAGCCAATCTCCTGTGCACTCTGAGGTGTAGCTTGGTCAGAACTGTATCATAGTAACAAACGACAAATTATTCATCTTATGCCATTAGATCATTCTCTAAGTAAACTGTCTGTTGATAAACTCCAGAGAAATAAGCATATGGATTCTTGAAGTGTTTGAAAGTAGTTAGGTGTATGTAGGCAGAACATGATTAAACCAAGTTTATTTGTTTTGTCCTAAAACAGTTTTAGTTAATGTTGGTAATCTTCCAATTGACTAATTATTTTATAATATTTCATTTGTATGTAATAGGCACACAGCAAGTACCTGTTGAATGAGTCAGTGAATTTACATTTGTCATTTGTTGACATTAAATATTCATCTTGGAAACTATATAAGCTTAAAAGAATGCAAATAATAGAGTTTCATCCAATATAGTTTGAGTTTTTGTTTGGGGATTCCTATTTATGCTGCTACTCACCCAACACATTTTAAATATTTGTTTGGGGACTAGTATTTACGTTTCTATTCTGATGAAAACGTGAAGAAACAAGAGGACCAAATGATCTCTAAGGACCATTCTAACTCTAAACTCATTTTCAGAGAACAAAGTAGACCAGGTGAATACCAATTCCTGATAAAAGGTAGAAGATAATTATCAAAACTAACAGCAGCCATTGCTTTTATTGGCAATTCATTAGAAGCATTCTCTTCAAAACGTAGAAAAAGTCAAGAGTGCTTAATATTACTGATAATATTCAACATCATTTTTATAGACCTACCACTCTAGCAATAAGGCAACGAAAATGAGATATAAATGCTGAAAAGGAGAAGCTACAACTGTCACCATTTTGAAAGAATTTGTGATTACCTACTTAGCAAATCTGAGAAAAAAGTTTAGTGAAGGAATTTAATAAGATAGTTGGATATGAAGCAAATACACTAAAGTTAATAGCCTTCCCAAACAAAAAGTAACCAACTGAAAGTGTAATAGAATAAAAGATCCCATTCTCAATTCAAATTACACAGAAATTATGAAATGCTTAGGAATGAATCTACCAAAAAAAATTTAAAATTTATATGAAGAAAACTACAAAACTTTATTAAAAGACATAGTTGAAGACTTGATTAAATAGACATCTATGTTCCTAGGTTGGAAAAATCAATATTGTGAGACGATCAATTCTCCCAAAATTTAATGTCATCTCAAACAAAATACTAGTAGGATTTTTACAACAGAATTTGATACACTGATTTCAAAGTTTACCTTGAATAGAAAATTACCTGTCATCACATATATTTTTAAACAGATTGACAGGTACAGTGTTGTTTTAATGTCAAAACATATTCAAAAGATATAGTCATTAAAACAGTATGGTATTTGAGTAGAAAGAGACAAATAAGTTTGTAGAAGAGAACAGAGAACTTAAAAACCAACCCAAGTATTGAGTTTCTGTTTCACTCTCCATCCTGTCTCATTCTCCATCCAGATGAGCTGAGTTCTCCTAGTTGATAATAAGTAGACTATTCTGGGATCAGACCAATTTACTGGGTTATCATGGGGAAACTGTTTACTTTTTTTTTTTTTTCTTTGAGACAGAGTCTCGTGCTGTCGATTAGGCTGGAGTGCAGTGGTGTGATTTTGGTGTACTGCAGCCTCTGCCTCCCGGGTTACGAGTGATTTCAAGTGATTCTCCTGCCTCAGCCTCCCAAGTAGCTGGGATTACAGGCATGCGTGCACCACCACACCCGGCCAATTTTTGTATTTTTAGTAGAGACAGGGTTTCACCATGTTGGCCAGGCTGGTCTCGAACTCCTGACCTCAAGTGATCCGCCTGCCTCGGCCTCCCATAGTGCTGGGATTACGGGCATGAGCCACTACGCCTGGCCATTACTTACATTTAACCAGTCCATTTTTCATCTGAGTGGTATTGGTGTGTTTTAGTAGACTGTGTGCTTTATTATACTAAATTGAGCAGAGACAATGGAGGAAGCAACCAGTTGGTGGTACTGGGAAGCCCTTTTAAGCACCAGGCCTCTGGTTATCTCTTTTATACATATTCTTTTTTTTAGGATATAATTTTTTTTTTTTTTTGCCTGGGGCACAAACCCTTTCCAAACTCCTTACTGACCTTCTTTTAAAGTGGTGCTAAATAGAAATGTGGGCCCGCACCTAATACCATTGTCAAAAGCCCCACTTAATATTATTGCTAAGCCAACAGGAGTGGATTCGTAAAGTGGAGTTTTAATGAAAACCTTCAACTCTGCTTGGTAAGATTTCTTTTCATACCCTTACTTAGGTGGTTAAAGAATGCAAACTTTTCTGTAGTTCTGCATGTTTTCTCTCACTTCAACATGGGATGGATTAGAGGTAACAATCACAGGGCATTACTATAAAACTGTAGGAAAGTAGTAATGAGTCCCTGAACAAAGGTGGTGGCAGTGGTTTTGATGTGTGAAATTAGAGAGAGGACTGCAGGCTTTGTTAGTTGATTGTTGGTAGAGGTAAAGGAGGAGGGATTGTCAGCATTAGCTCAAAGAAGGTGGATCACATTCCCAGCTGCAGTGGTCAGGTGGGTTTGGTAAGCTGGGGGATTGATAGACTATGCTTAAGGAAAGAAAGTTTGATGAAAAAACAGGCATCTCAGGAGCGGTAGTGGCAAGAGATGAGAAAACAGGCATCTCAGGAGGTAACAGGGTTTGGTAAGCTGGGGGATTGTTAGACTATGCTTAAGGAAAGAAAGTTTGGTGAGAAAACAGGCATGTCAGGAGCAGTAGTAGCACCAGGTAGAGACAGAAGCCACAGATCAAATATAGATGTTATAGGCAGAAACTTGGGGTGCAGAATGGTAGATCGAGGCATGCTTCATTCAGATCATGCTGCAGAAACAGTGGGAGCTCCAGGCTGAGTGGTCCTCCATGAAATTCACTGGTGATAAATCATGGTTGATTGATGTCACCTAGGCCCAGGGAAATGGCCTAGCAAGAAAAAAGTAGAAAAGTAAACTCTAGTCACAGATGAGATTGGTTTCCCACCTTGAGAGGAAGAAGAAACCCTGAGATATGTATATACAAGGGGACTAAGATGGTAGTCTGATCCCCGAGGACCATTCAGGGAGATGATTGCTCGTTTTTACCAGTGAGCTGTTCAGTATCTCATGTCTCACCCACGGCAGGGCCAAAACAATTTTCCAATACCTGTGGACACCTGAGCAACTGTTATCAATATACTGCTGAGCCAACTTGTCTTTGGTACCAGGTTGCTTTATGTTTCTAAAGCACCATTTTCTTTGAGTCATTGCTCCACTTAAGAATCTCCTAAGACCATTTGTTTACTGTTAAATTAAACTCCGGGGCTTTAGTCTGGCATTCAGAAATCATTAGCTCACCATCCTTTTACTACACTTCTCCATGAATATGAATCCTCTGCCCAGGAAGATTATGGCCATCTTTCAAATATGCTGTAGAAACTCCACATGTTCATATCTTTTCTTGACATTAAAATTTATCATTTTTCCTGAAGCCTTCTTTTTAAGCCCAGCCTATGGCACCTTTCTTCTATTTGCTTGCATTTAACCCATTCCGTTTCTCTGTTTGTGCCTTTTGTCTCTCCAGCCAGCATTCTCTCTTTCCATATAGATTGATATTCATTCCTTAAAGACAGACACCACAACTTCCATTTCTTATGCCGTTAGAAGTGGGGAGCGAAACTTTTTTTCAGTTTTTATTTGACTACTCCTGTAATGTTTTGAGAAGTCTTAGTCTTCAGAATGATGGAAAAGATTAATCATTTGCCTGGCTTTTCGTTTAATAAGATGTAACTTAGAAATAAAGTAGTATTCTTGCCAAAAGTTTCTTTGGGTTGTTTTTGTTATGGCTTCTCAAGGTACTAAATATTTAAACAGTTTTTTCTTATATGAAATCATTTTATAAAATACGTGAAAGTATAATTTGTGTGTTACTGATAATCATGTAAATTGCTATAAACTCCATGAAGACAGTTTGACTAAAAAGTCTTCTTTGACTAATCAGTTTCACTCCTAAGGATTAAGGGAGGCTAGGCAGGAGAGTCGCTTGAACCTGGGAGGTGGAGGTTGCAGTGAGCTGAGATCATGCCACTGTACTCCAGCCTGGGTGACAGAGTGAGACTCTGTCTAAAAAAAAAAAAAAGAACTTATCCTGAAGAACTGTTATGGATATTTCTGAATATTTTCAAGGTTGGTCATTATACCATTGTTTTGTAATAGCAAAAGATTAGAAGTCAACATGAATAACCAAGTAGAATTGTTTATGTTATACTATAAACATTTTCTATGGAATATTATACAGTTAACAAAAATGGTCTTCTACAGGAATAGTGACACAGGAAAATGGCCCCGAAGTTTTAGTAAGTAAAAAGGTCAGATTACTGAATGATATATATGGTATAATCCCATTTTCTTTGCCAAAAGAAAGCAAAAACAATTCTATCTATAAATTTTTAGATTCTGTCTTCTAATTTTATACGGTAACTACTAGAATATTTAGTGACATAGAAAAATGGCCCTGATAATTGATAAGTGAAAAAGATCAGGTTATTGAAGCATGTATGGTAAAATCCCACTTTTTTGCCAAAAAGAAAACAAAATTATACTTAACAAATTTTTTACAATTCTGTCTTCTAAATTACATGTAAGAGCTTTGCATTTCTCTTGTAATCAGGAAAATAAATCCTTTTATTAAAAAAAATTGCTCTAGTTACTTCAGAGAGAAAATAACAATGGAATATTATCTACAAGGAAAGGTCTTGAAGGAAAAGAGACCCCTAAAATTCAGACCAATGATGGCCACTATACTGTAGTGATCTGGAACTAGCAATTTCACTTCTAATCTAAATATTACCACTAATGGTTTCCTTAGTGGTAGTTATAAGTAGCCTATTGGGATTTTACTTTATTCTTTTAGAAAATTAGTGGATGTTAGTGAATAGACTTGTAATTAAATACATTAGCCTATAAGAGTACATAGTAGGCATTCAGCAAGCGCTGGTGTTCCTTCTAAAAGTACCACTGGCTCCATAATTTAATGTTCTTTAAGACTGAAGCTTAAGAAATAAACCAAAAAAAAATCACAAATCACTTCTCCAAAGTGCCAGTTTAAAATCCTTAAGCTCTTAATGATATTTTTTGTAGAATCTTTCGAATATTAATTTATTTTATTTATGTGAATAATTTATTTATAAAGTGATTAACGTTTTTCAGAAGACGATATTTTCACACTTCCTCATTTACTCTGTTTATTCACTTTCAACATAATTAAAAGTATCTTCTAGAGGGAGGTATTACTTCACATCATCCAAATGTATTTGCTTTCTTAACTTTAGGTTGCTATTGGCAGAACAGACATTGAAGACTTAGACCTTTATGCCACATCTCGGGAGAGGCGATTTCGTTTATTTGCTTCTATAGAATGTGAAGGGCAGTTATTCATGACTCCGTATGATTTTATTTTGGCTGTTACAACAGATGAGCCCAAAGGTAAGTACACTTTTGAAATTATCTTAATAATTGTATAATTTTTTTATCTCTAGCTTGTGAATGGATGGAGCAGTATAAGTTTTTTAGAAGAACTGAGTAATGTGGTATTTCACATGATATTGTGCTATTCAGTGTTACAGACTGATATTTCTTACAAACTCTTACTCACATCTCTTCTCTTTTCAGAAACTTTCAATTGCTCCATCTTTCTCAGCTTAACACCATCTTACTTTTGATACTCTTTATAAAAGACTCATATTCTGCCTCTTCATTCTTATATCAAACCTGAACAGAGTAGTTCAGAGGACTGGCTTTGAGGTTAGCCCTGGGCAAGAATTCTACCTGTATCTCTTCTGCGTTTGTCATAGCTCCTGCAGTGTAAATATATTAATAGTTTCATTGTCTCTCACCTTTTCATATGTTAGAATAATGGTTCTCAAAATTTTTGGAAGTATGTACATTCTTGCAAATCTCTTAATATCTAACTTAACAGAAGACAGCTGTATTCTCATGTGTGCTTTTTTATTTGATCTGTTATAATATGTTGTTTTCCATGAAATATATGAAGAAAATCTACCTCACAGACATGGACAGTAAAAAAAGGAGTATTTTAATTGCCTTTTTAGATTATTATAGGTACTCTCCTTTGATACTGTATCACAATTGGCTGGTGGTAGTTGCAGCTTCAAAAGTCTCTATAGATGGTGGTAAAAGAGTAATGAGAACCGAGGATTTCTGGCTGGCTTACCTGGATGGATGGCACTAGGGACCAGGTTTGAGGAGAAAAATCACAATTTCAATTTTGGTCATGTCTATTTGAGATACCTTGGATATATAAAAGGATACAGTGTATTTTTTTAAAAAATAATTCATTTCACTTCACTGAAAGATCACTCACTAAAAATCAGTATAACAAATAATCATTTGTTCGACCCATATCTACTTTAAACTGTCACACAAATACTTTAACTTAGACTAGAACAATTATAGCCATTTTTTCCTCCAGAGACAGCAATATGGCAAAAATGAACCTTAAAATAAATCCTCAATAATTTGACAAATTGGCTACTTGACATAGTAACTTTTAATGAATTTTTGATTCTTTGGATTATTTCCACTGGATATCAAGGAAGAGATTCAGGTATATATTTAGGATTCATCTTTGCATTATTGCTAATTCATAGAATGTGTATGAATGAAATTGCCTAGGGAAGCTGTATAGGATGAGAATATAGATAACCAAAGACTAGGCCTTGAGGAATTTCTGCTCTTTAAAAGATGAATGGACAAAAGGCTTTGAAAGGATGAGAAAAGGGGACATAGGAGTGGCCAGAGACATAGGAAGAAAATCATAAGGGTATGTAGTCATGGAAGCCGAGTAAAATAGCCAGAATTGCCAATTGAGTGCAGTGTTACTGAGAATTCAAGTTAGATAAGAACAGGAAAATGTCCACTAGATTTAAAAACATGAAGGTTATTGATGGTTTTTTAAAATGATGTTTCAGTGGAGTCATTAGGGCAATTGCAGGAGTGAGTAGCAGATGAAGAAATGAAGACGATGAGTGTAAAGGACTCTCTTACAATATTTGATTGCAAAAGAGAAAGGAACTGAAAGGTAGCTGTAATGGAATTTGAAGTAGACACTTTTGATTATGCAAGATTTTAAATTAAAAAAAAGATTTTAACAAGAAACTATGAGAGTAACGTTTAAAGAAATGTAAACTACATAAGCAAAAACATGAAATCAAGACAGTATATGGTATAGTCATAGTAGCCACTTTGGGAATATGTAGGGCCATATAGTGATGGGAAAGGTGAAAAATTAAGTAGAGTTCTTTTTTTTTTTATTTACGAATTTTAAGGCTGTGATAAGTGTTATATCCTTTTTATTTAATCCATTTGGTACAATGTAGATTCTTTATTAGTGAGTTAGTATAGATTTAATACTAATTTGCTAATAAATATAGAGACCATGTTGTACCAAATCAATTAAATAAAAATGTATGGAATATTTATATGTCTGCTTCTGTATTAAGGTTCTTTTCTGTGTGCTAAGGGGGATACAAAGTCTGTGCACTCAGGAAACTTACGATATTATAAGACGACGTAAGATACAGAACCATCTCCAAGGTAGAATATGGTTACCTGGCACATGATAGGTACACAATAAATATTTCTTGAAGGAAGGAATTTGTTAGATGCTAAATGGTATTTTATATCAAATTCTATAATTTTTTCAAACATATTTGAAAGCTATTCTTTAAGTGATTGTTAATAATCTATATATATATATATATATATATAGATTTTTTTTTTTTTTTTTGAGGCAGGGTCTTGCCCTGTCCCCCGGGCTGGAGTTCAGTGACGTGATCACTACTCACTACAACCTCAACCTCCGAGGCTCAAGTGATCCTCCCACCTCAGCCTCCCAAGTAGCTGGGACTACAGGCACATGCCACCATGCCACCAGCTAATTTTTTAAATTTTTTTGTAGAGAGAGGGTTTTGCTATGTTTCCCAGGCTTGGCTTGAACTCCTGGGCTCGAGCAGTCCACCTGCCTCAGCCTCCCAAAGTGCTGGGATTACAGGCGTGAGCTACTGTGCCTGGCCACAGTTTCATATTTTGAAAAATTTTACTTCATTATTTTCTAGAATTTTTTTCTTCAGAATACATTCACTGGAAGCACACTGTTCGATTTTGCTTTTTGGAAATAACTTTTGTGGTGATTCTTCTCATAGATATTTTAAAACCATAACTTAAGAGTAAAAAACTGGTTTCTATTATAGAAAAGTTATACAGGATATTTTACAACCACAACTTCAGTTAATTTCTAACCAGCACTTTTCAAACATAATTAGGAACAATCACAAAAGATCAAGATATTCATAAATCCTGTTTTGAAAGTTGGGGTTTTAGAAAAGGAAAAGAATAGAACAATGTTTCATGTACTGAGTATTAAATCAGATATGTTAAAACTGTAGCGTAATGAAATTTGACTTGTGTTTAAACCTTGGCATTTACTGGCTTTGAAAACTTGGTTATTTAATCTTCTGTTTCCTCATTTATAAAAATAACAGCCTCATGAAGTTTTTCTTGAAGATCGAATGAATTATGGTTAGTATAGTACCTGGCACACAGTAAACATTTAATATTGGTATGTCATCATCATCGTCATCAGAATTCATAGCCATGATTTTTTTTTTTTTTCCCCAAGAGGAGACTCGCTCTGTCAACTAGGCTGGACCGCAATGGGGTGATCTCAGCTCACTGCAACCTCCGCTTCCTGGGTTCAAGTGATTCTCCTGCCTCAGCCTCCTGAATAGCTGGGATTACGGGCAGCTGCTGTCATGCCCAGCTAATTTTTGTATTTTTGCAGAGCTGGAGTTTCACCATGGTTTAACCATATTGGCCAGGCTGGTCTCAAACTCCTGACCTCAGGTGATCCTCCTGCCTCGGCCTCCAAAGGGGTGCAATTACAGGCGTAAGCCACCATGCCCAGCCCATAGCTGTGATAATTTTTAAGCAAATATTTACACGGCACACCATTTTTTTCGCTGTTTAAAATCATAGCCATTATTTTTGAAAGTTTTTGATATCATTTTATGATGACATTCAACAGGGAAAAAATGGTATGCTGTGTAAATATTTGCTTAAAAATTATAGATCAAATAAATGTTGAGATATCTGTTGATTATGATTTTGCATTATAATCTTATTTTGCATACTTAAATAGAACCTAAATGGTGACTTTCTTTTCTAGAACTAAAATCAGTAATTATTTTCCAACATAGCATCAAGAATTATTTTAATTTAGATTTTTAAAAATATATTAAATTTTTCAGACATACAAAAACGTATTAAAAATATAATGAACATCAACCTACAGCTTAAGAAATAATATTTCCACTAGAATTGAAGTCCTTCTTCACCTAAGTTATATTTATATGTGCAGTAACTTCATATGAAATAAGGAATTCAGAAAATCCTTTGAAGAGCAATCTTAATGGCTCTTTAGTCTTTATTTAAAAAGATAATAGTATTGAACATGGTGACATTTCCGACAGAATGAATATGTCTTTTGTGAATAATTTACCATGGAAATCTCATAAACCCTGCAAAACTCAAGAGTACCTCTAACTTCCTCTTCCGATAAATACCTTCTGAGCATTGCATAAGAGCACGTGCATGTACTTTTCTACCATTTATTTTTCTTCTTTCCTTACTGCTATATTTTAAGAGCAACAGAATAATAAATACTATTTGTATTGTTCTGTTCATTGTTAAAAGGGAAGTGTCTTTGCACCAGTGTCATAGTTAAGTTTACATGCTAAATTCTAATTTGTAGACCTGTGATTTGAATCACTTGATTACACATTTGTATCAACTATCTTGGATAGATGAAGGATGTTGTTGCTACATAAAGAAGAAATCTATCCTTAGAAACATATTTCTTCTCTTTTGATTTTAAATTGAGTTGTTTTGTTGCCTAATAAAGAAAAAACTACACAGCAAAAATTGCTTTTTTTGTAATTTTGAATTTGATATATTGTTAATTATACAGAAATAGCCCCATTGCCAGGTAGAAGAAGATGTTGGTTGGCATTATTGTAATGTAGCTGAAATAATTAATATTAACCAGTTTCCTAATACAGCTGTATTACAGGGCTTAATCAAATGTAAACCTGGTGCTAATTCTTAGGCAGGCATTAAATATTTACAGTGTTCAAATGTGAGCAAAGGAAATAGCAATACTGACTATACATTTGTCCCAACATTTTAAGTTTTACAGTGTTTGAGATCTTTGGGGGTGTGAGGAGGAATCACAAAAAGAAAGTGATCCCTGACATTTTATTCAGCTGTAACACTCTTACTCCAGTGATGCTTCTTGAATAGTTGTAGGGAAGAGTAATGAAACAGGACAAGTTTCCCCATCACTTTGCCTAGCCTCCCTTTCCTTTCTTTTTTTCTTTCCCCAATCCTTCTTCATCCTAGAGAGACCTGACCTGTGAATTACGTCATGGAACACTAGTATAGCAAAGATCACAAGTAATACCTTAAAATTATAGTTTATCTATGTTAATGTTATTTTATATTCTAGTTTGAATATTTTATAAGTATCATTATTTGTGCTTTTAAGCCCACAAGATGTTTAACATGGAGAAAGTTAGCTTACTTTATTAGTCCAGAAAGCCCAAATTAAGATGATACGGCTGTGGAGAAATGTTTCCTGTATCACTGATACTTACTATGAACAGTGCATAGTATATATGAAGCAAATAGATAACATATATAAGATCATATCACAGATCCAAATTTTGAGGTTAAAAGAAAACTTTGCCTTTTGGACATAAAAGTTTGGTTATGAGTTATGGTTGTAGATGGTTAGCAAATATGGATATATATTCCATGAAGTATTTATTATCTAATTATCTTACATTTGTTTATTTTAGTTGCCAAAACTTGGAAGTCACTTTCCAAACAGGTGAGTTAAAGCTCTTGGTAGATATACACAAATTTTATATGTGCATGCATATATACATATATAATTAAAATATATTTCATAAAATATATTATGTATTTTTATATATTTTATGATTTTTTGGCAAATCAAATCACATCAGAGTTCCTTTTTTTATCCTCCAGATTGTCAGAAAATAAAAAGGTGGACGTTTCTAAGGGCTGGTGAAAATGTAGATTACTGGTAAATCTCATGTGTTGGTATACTCACTTTGGAAAACAATTTGGCATTATCTACTAAAATTGGCGATATGCCTACCCTATACCTAGTAAATACATGCCTGCATTTAAATTCTGCAGTAGTGCATGCGCATGTACCTTGTAAAGTTGAACTTGAATAGACTCTGTGATCTAGTAATTTCTACTAAATACACTGGTATCTAGCATATACCAGTGTATATACCTAGGGAAATTCTTGCTTATATGCAGGAGAGGTTCACAAGAATGTTTATAGATTATATATGATGGCCCCAAAACTTTAATATATCAATACTATACCATAAATAAATGTTGATATATTCATATAGTATACTACACAATAGTGAAAACAAATGAATTTTAACAGTGCTTTAACTAAATAAGTCTCAGAAACATGATGGTAAAGAAAATAAGCAGTTCAAAAATACAAAGTATAATTCTATTTGTATAAAGTCCAAAACTGAGAAAGTGAAATCATATTATTTAGGATACATTCATACGTGGGAAAACAAAGGAATAATTAACATTAAATTCAAGAAAGTATTCATCTTCAGGATGATAGCAGGGAATATCATCAGTGATGGGCTCAAAGAGGCTTTAAAGTACTGCTAATTTTCTATTTTTTAAGTTAACTATTTCTTAACTTTAAATTGCATATATATTCCTTTTATATTTTTATAGATATGTTTTTTTTTTTTAAAAAAAAGAATATTAGAAATCTAGGGAACGTCCTTAACTAGTTAAAGGGAATCCTCCAAAAGCCTACAGCAAATGTCATGGTCATTTGTGAAACTTGAGAGACATTGTCTTTAAAGTTAGGTATATTAGTCCCCGTTTATCAGTGGGTAATATGCTCTAAGACCCCTGGT
Source organism: Homo sapiens (assembly GCF_000001405.40). Classification (NCBI taxonomy): domain Eukaryota; kingdom Metazoa; phylum Chordata; class Mammalia; order Primates; family Hominidae; genus Homo; species Homo sapiens. The sequence continues at coordinate 17,070,822 of NC_000008.11, forward strand.
AATGAATGCTGAAAATTTGGAAAGTACTGAACCCTATATGTACTATGTTTTTTCAGTTTGGTAGACGAGAGAACTACTAAGTGCCTAACAGGTGGGTAGCATATACAGCGTGGATATACTGGGTAAAGGGATGATTCACATCCTGGATAGGACAGAGTTGGACAGTGTGAGATTTCATCATGCTACACAGAACAGTGCGCAACTTAAAACTTAGGAATTGTTTATTTTTGGAACTTTCTATTTAATGTTTTTGGACTGCAGTTGACTGAGGGTCACAGAAACTGTAGAAAGCTAAGCCTCAAATAAGGGGGAACTACTGTACAGTGCAAATATGCCTGCTGTCACAACTGTTCCATAGCATTTTACTGGAAGTCTGGGCTAGTATAGTATACTAGGGCTGCTATGACAAAATATCACAGATTGAGTGGGTTTAACACCAGACATTTATTTTCTCACGGTTCTGGGGGCTTGAAGTCTGAGATCCAGGTGTCAGCAGGTTAGTTTCTTCTGAGGCCTCTCCCCTTAGCTTTTAGGTAGCAATCTTCTTCCTCTGTCTTCACATGGTCTTTCCTCTGGGCATGTCTGTGTCCTAATCTCTTCTTATAAGGACGTCAGTCATATTGGATTAGGGCTCATCCTGATGACCTTATATAATAACCTAATTACCTCTTTAAAGAAAGGTCCTCTCTGCAAAACAGTCAGATTCTGAGGTACTGGGGCTTAGGACTTCAACATATGAATCGGGGAGAGGGGCACAATTGAGACCATAATATGTAGTATGAAAAAAAGAAGAGGCTCTAAGGATTAGAATAGAGGCACAGAATAGAATGTGATTGGAAGAAAAATGTAAAAATACATAAATTTTAGATTTGTTTAAATTTAATAAAAGTTTAGCAAGATTGCTACTGGATATAACAGCAATAAACCAAAGTTAAGAAGATGCTCCACACCAGCGAGAGCAATTAGAAACTAGTATTGAATAAAATGCATTTCATAATAGAAACAAGAACTATTAGGTACTTAAAAGCAATGCCTAACAGAAGATGTACAAAACATTATTAAATTATGTTTTTAAAAATACAAGTAAATGGAGAACTGTATCATGTTCATACTGGTAATAAGCCATTTCCTTATGATAATGATCCTCCAAATCTATCTATAAATTCAATGTAACTCCAATTAAAATCCCAACCAAATTGATCCGAAATTAACTTTTAAAATTAATCTGGATGAGTAAGGGCCCCAAAATATTTAGAACAATTCTGAAAAGGAAAGAGGGAAAAAAAACCATTGAGATGAGAATAATGGGGTTGATCACATATCAAGATTAGAAATAGAGCTATAATAAATAAAGTAGTATTACATCATTGCAAGGATATTTTTAAAAACTAGATCAAGGTAATAGAATATAGAATCCAGAAACAGATCCAGGTATATATAGGTAGATCTGTAAATCAGTGGCAGAAAGATTGACCTCTCAATCATAGATGTTTGAATAATAACTTTTCCATGGAGGGGGCAAATTAGGCCTCAGATTTACTACCATATACAAAAACTAATTTCAGATGGATTAAGTTCTTATTTGTGACAAAAATTCTCTAAGATTAAAAGCAAAAATGAGAGGCATGAGAGGTTTTTTTTTTTTTAGATAAGACACAAAGCAAAACTCAAAATTATTGGCAATGTTTACTAAACTAAATATTTGAAAGCTTAGCATCAAAACACAGTGTAAACAATGTTAAAAGATGTATGATGGATGGGAGGATATGCATGCAACATATCAACAGAAGAGGGTAAGTGTCTTGCAGTCACGTAGAACCCCTTTTTTTATCTTTGTAAAAAAGATTATGGCTTAATAAGAAAAAAATAGACAAATATGCCTACAATGGCCACTGAATATATGTAAAGGAGGTGAACCTTACTAGTAACTTAGGGTGTGCAAATTAAACCAATGATACGATACTATTTGACACCCGCCAGATGGTGAGCTTCCAGAAATCTGACAATACCCATAATTAGCAAGGAGAACAAGAAGGAACCAGGTCAGAATATAAACTGGTGTATTTACTTTTTAATTTTTTTTGAGATAGAGTCTCTCCCTGTCACCCAGGCTGGAGTGCAGTGAGTGGCACGATCTTGGCTCACTCCATCTTCTGCCTCCTGGGCTCAAGTGATCCCCCTACCTCAGCCTCCTGAGTAGCTGGGACCACAGGCACACACCACCATGCCCAGCTAATTTTTGCATTTTTAGTAGAGACAGGGTTTTGCTCTGTCACCCAGGCTGGGGTATATTTACTTTTGAGTGAAATTTGGCAATACCTAATAATGTTGAAAATGCATATGAGAAATCCCTCTTGTAGAAATGCATACTAGAGAAATGTTTTCAGATTTGCCACAGAAATCCTATATATCAGATCGCCCCCTTCCCGTGAAGCTTCGTCTGTATTTACAGCCACTCTCCATCACTCATTGCTCACATTACTGCCTGAGCTCTGCCTCCTGTTAGATCAGTGGCAGCATTAGATTCTCATAGGAGCCCAAACCCTATTGTGAACTGGCATGTGAGGGATCTAAGTTGTGTGCTTCTTATGAGAATCTAATGCCTGATGATATGTCACTGTCTCCCATCACCCCCAGATAGGACCATCTAGTTGCAAGAAAACAAGCTCAGGACTCCCACTGATTGTACATTATGATGAGATGTATAATTATTTCATTATATGTTACATTGTAATAATAATAGAAATAGAGTGCACAATAAATGTAATGCACTTGAATCATCCCCAGAACATTTCCTCTTCCTCCCTCCTGGTCTGTGGAAAAATTGTCTTCCAAGAAACCAGTCCCTGGTGCCAAAAAGGTTGGGGACTGCTGCTATATGTGTTTCCTGAACATCAATTGTAATAGCAAAAATTTGGGAACAATATGTCAATCATCAGGCAGGTGAATGAAAAATTTGTGAAATAGAGAAACCCAGGATAAATGTAGAATTACAGAGTGAAAATGAATAAATACATTATAGCTATGTGTATTAACATGAGTAGAACTAGAAAACAAGGTTGAGTAAAAGGGCAAGTTGCAAAATAATATTAACTGACAGTCATTTAAAGTGCAAATACCTTTTCAAAGGTCCATGAAGTCAAAACTATTTTCATCATAATATTGAGAAGATACTTGTTTTATTCACTGTCATTCTCTCATGAGTGTATGGTGGAGTTTTCTTTTTCTTTTTGGTTTTTTTTTTTATTTTTTATTTTTAGTAGAGAGGGGGTTTCACCGTGGTCTCCATCTCCTGACCTCGTGATCCGCCCGCCTCGGCCTCCCAAAGTGCTGGGATTACAGGTGTGAGCTGCCGTGCCCAGCCTGTATAGTGGAATTTTCTAGAGGCTGTTTGGTAATGATGCCATTGCTCTACCAACTAATGGAATGTGTGTTTGTGTTTTATTGTGTTTTAAAAATTTGTTTTTATTTTCAAATAAATTAAATATTGATAGATATAACCCATATAGACAATATCTCTTTTGGGTCCATAATATTTTTAAGAATGTGAAGAGTTTCCTTTCAGAACTGCTACTATAGACAACTGCTGTGTAGCCATTAAAATAAAAATGAAGAATATTTGACAGGAAAATATGCTCACTATAATATATTAAATGTAAAGGGTAAATTATAAAACAGTATGTAGAGAATGATTTAATATTTGCAGCAACAACAAAAATACTATAGAAATATGCCTAGCTGGAGAATCAGACTAAAATGATGTTAAAACGTGTGTGTGTGTGTGTGTGTGTGTGTGTGTGTGTGTGTGTGTGTTTAACTTGCCACCCCTAGAGACAATTAACTTTAGTCTAAAACTTAAGTTTGTCATCCCTGGATTACAATTAGTTTTTATTTTCTGTACTTACTAATTTTTCTATAATATATATCTATTAACTATAATTTTTTTAATAGTACTTATTTAAGAAAATTACGTAACTCTTTTAAAAGGCAACTATAATTCTAGGAGACTGACTTTAATTCAGCAAATATTTATTTTCTACCTACAATTTAATTCTGACGCTAACCACTCCGAGTTTAAGCATGGTGCCTAACAAGACTGCCCTCATTTCAGATGCTTGTTGCAAGTTTCGGGGCTCCAGGCCACCCACACTCTGACCTTACTGTCTACAAGTCTAGGAGGTTGCCACAGCTCCCCTCAGGTTTAATGATTTGCTATAATGAATCATAGAACTCAGAAAATGCAGTACCTATGGTTATGGTTTTATTAGATAGAATACAGAGTAAGACCAGCCAGATGAAGAGAGAGGGCAAGGTCTGGGAAGGTCCTGAACACAGAGCTTCTATGCCTTCTTTGAGAACATGGAGTTGGGGTGTGTCACCGTCCTAGCACAGCAGCGTGTTCAACAACCAGAAAGCTCCTCTGAGCTTAGTGCTTAGAATTTTTATTAGGGTTTCATTACATAGGCATGATTGAATTATTGGCTGTGTGATTGAACTTAATCTGTAGCCTCTCTCTTCTCCCCAGAGGTCAAGCTCACTAAAGCCCCAACTCTGTAATCACAGTTATTCTTTCTGGTAAGCAGTTCCCCTCCTGAGTCATCTCCTTAGCATAAACTCGGGTATGAACCAAGGATTTAGAGTCTGCTTCCTAGGACCCAGGGACAAAGGCCAAATTCTTTATAATATGGCACTGCTACATACGAAACCAAGCTAGGAGTTTGGAGGAGGGAGAGAGATTCCTGACATGGGTGGAAATATAAAAAATTTAATAAATTTTAGAGGTCCTTAAAGTTAACAGAGAAGTCAAGATGAATGTGTTGATTGGATGATTTAGACCGGGAGAAACTAGATTATTACTAAAATAAGCTACTTGGTGTCAGTAAGGATCTGGGCTCTGTCATTTATTAGTTCTGTGACCTTGGGTGTTACTTATCCACTTTAAGTCTCAGTAAAATATGCATAATGAGGATTGTTTTTAGAATGAAGTTATTATATGAGCCTATTGTCAAACCCATAGAGGGCACCCAATAAAAGCTAGCTTTGATTTTTCAGTCTTACACTGTAGCTGAGTTTAAGTTAGAACAGATGAGGTTGGAAGACATGGAAACAGTTAAAATGGAGAAAGATTAGTTAATATTTATACAGTTACAATAGAGATGGTATAAATTAAGCTATGTAAAATTTATTCAGAATGTTGTTTTTTAAGTTTTTTTATATTTTTTTGAGACAGGTCTCACTCTGTTTGCCTAGGCTGGAGTGCAGTGGTGTGATCATGGCTCACTATAGCCTCGACTTCCTGGGCTCAAGTGATTTTTCCACCTCAGCCTCCTGAGTAAGCTGGGACTATAGATGAACGCCACCATGCCCAGCTAATTGTTTGTCTGTTTGTTTGTTTGTGAAATGGGGTTTTGCCATGTTGCCCAGGCTGGTCTAAAACTCTTGGATTCAAGGGATCTACCCACCTCAGCCTCCCAAAGTGCTGAGATTATAGGCCTGAGCCACTGAGTCCCACCCAGAATGTTTTATTTAATCTCTCAATCTAACAAAAATATTTGAGTTTACTGTTGTCTAAACAATAAACATCCCAGTTTCTCATTACAATTCGGACCTGAATTATTCTGTGCCATTCCTATTCTATAATCAGATGCACTGATTATCTGCTGGCATCTTTTACCTGCAGTGCAGATACAGAAACATGAAAAACACAAACACAAGAATCCACATATGGGCTTCAAGGTGTCCATAAATCCCCTAAAAATGCTGTTCCTGCCTTTGACATACCAAGAATTTTTCTTCCTGCTAGCTCAGCTTTGCAGTTAAACAAAAATGATTTATAAATGTCAGAAAGCATTTTTAGGTACAGCTGCGTCAGAAATGGTTTGTCTGAAATGCCTTCCAAACTTCAATGTGTGTAAAAATTAGAAGATGTTGTTAAAAATGCAGGTTGTGGTTCAGTAGGTCTGGGATGGGCACTGAGATTCTGCATTTCGCACAAGCTCTCAGGTGATGCTTAAACTATTGGGGAGCCACATGCTCTGAGGAGTGGGTGTCAGATCTGAAAATAGAAGTGGGTTCTGTGTTTGTCTAATGTGTTTCTAAGCAGACTAACTTTGTTGTTTCAAATTATTTCAAGTTATCTCACCGTCTTTTAATCATTTTTCTTCACAATTAATCAAATTATAGTTTTCACTTAGTCGTTTTTAACAGACTATACACAATAAATTCAAAATTGATTTAGCATATGAGTAATGATTCAAATGTCTAAATTCTCCAGTAGTTTCCGAGCAGCAGTGATAGTTTGAGTTTTTTAAAAAAGAAAAAGCTAAGCAGCAGTTGAAGTCTGTGTTCTTTAATATTTAAGTTAAAATTAGAAACAAATTGAAACAGTGACCACAATAACTCAGTACCCTTGTCTTTCTGCTTCATCCATTGTTATCATTCTCTAAGTCACTAACCGTTAAAATACTCTTCATTCCTTTCTAACATAATTCTTTGTTCATTTACTTCCTCTACACAAAGTTCTCTAATTCCAAATGTGTTACAAAGAAGAGACATTACGTGAAGCCGGGTGATGTGACCATCTCCGACCTTGATATGGAAATCCATGTTTTTCCATGATTTTCCTAAAACGATTCCTTTATAACTGGCTCCAGGACTTAAACTCACTGTTTTATCTTGATTTGGTTGTCTTATGTATAACCTCCCGTTATTCAACTTATCTGAAATTTTAGTTAGCTCTAATTAAATTTAATGTAGCCTCTTCATCATTTATTTTATGTTTGAACTGTGGGCAAATACTGGGTTGTGTGCTTGAATGAACCACAGGCATAACATAGGATAAATAATGCCATGTTTCAGGTCTTTTAAGTGGAGAATTTGGCATGGACATTTAAACATGTTTTTGATCTATTTTATTAGTAAGTTGTTTACCAATTCATCAGTAGTATAACTTCTGTCATAGGAATTAAATCAAATGCTCGCAGAAACACCACCAGTTTGGAAAGGCTCATCGAAGCTATTTCGAAATCTTAAAGAAAAAGGTGAGTTAACCTTAGTACTTGTTCTTTTTTTAAACTATATTATGTATACTATTTATATATGCATATTTTCCCATACCTAAAATAATTTTTAAATTACATCTATGTGTATGCATAGAGAAAAAACTGAAGAAGAAAACAGCAAAATATTAACATTTCTGGGTATTAATGTTGCTCTTGGGTAATTCCACCCTTCATTAAGGGTGGTTTTCATGTTATTGTTTATATATTATTTGTATCTTCCAAATTTTTTTATATCAGATTGGACTTACATAGTTTAAAAAATTGTTCTTCAACCATATCAAAAAGTATATTTTATATTTACCCAAAGAAAACATTTCACAAAAATACTAGATCTTCAAAGGTCTATTTTTCTTCCTTCCATTTTGCTCTGAGTGAATTATAGATGCTCCTAAACTAATTAACAGGAAAAATTTAGTGGATGTGTCCTTTGACAGCCTAATTTGGACATGTTTCCTTTAAAGGCCAACACTTACTGCAAATATACCTGTTTCAACTTACTCTATTATCAATATCAATATTAGCTTAATTCATTAATTTAAACATTTCCTGGCAATCAAATTATATGGCTTTTATTGTAATTTTCTTTTACAGGGTACCTTTTTACACATTTGTAGAAAAAATTTATTAATCTTTTTAATCTTAAAAAGTAATATTTCTTGGAAATGTATTTTTTGTATCCTCAAATACAGGAATATGCAAAATAAAAATGTTAAAGAAATTACATAAGCAGTTATATTTTCCCTTTTCATCAATTTTAACCAATATTGGCTTGAAAATAATGTACTTCAGCCTGAAGACAAATACTTTGAAGGAGTAGTTATAATTCATATATTTTATTTAAGTAGAATTAGAAAGTTCATATTGCTTCCACGTGGTTTACATAGAATCTGAAAGGAAGAGACACCATATCTTTTATTGTAGGTGTTTCATAAGTAAGATTTTTAAATCTTCAAGAAACCTAGGCCAAAGTGTCTTAAAAAAAATCTTAGAAATTTTTTTCCTAGATGTTGTCTTAAAGATTGCCATTCAGATCTTAGGGTGAGATAATAGGATGAGGAAAATTCAAAGCTCATAAGGATCAAGTAAGTATGGTGAATTTCAAACATTTTTCTTAATATACCTCATGGGAAAATACAAATTGGATCAAATATAATCTGAGAAAAATAATGCATAGAAGAAAGAACCTTTTTTAAGTTAAGGGGAGGGTTTAATCTGGAAGTCCTAGGTTTAGGCATATCCTAATCCTTCTCATGTTATACACATGTTTGCATTTTTTTCCCCAGGGGATAGAATCTATGCTGCACCACTATGACGGAAATACTCTGTTTCTATGCTGTCTCTTATGGTAGCTACTAGCCGCATATGGCTGTTGAGCACTTGAAATGTGTCTAGCGTAACTGAGGAACTTATTTTTAGTTGTATTTGATTTTAAGTATTTTAAATTTAAATAGCTACACCCTGTAGTACAATGCGTATCTGTATCATATTAATTAGATCATCAGGGTGATGCATGATCCCAGAAAGTTTTAGAATCATTAGGTTAGGTAAAATAGAGAAGTTAGAAGAGCCTTGCTTTTTTTAAATAGCGATTAAGTGGCAGAGAAATTTTAAGACTAAATCTTTAGAGCTATTGAAGACTAATTTTATTTTTATTTTTGTTTTATTTTATTTATTTATTGAGTCAGGGTCTCATTTTGTCACCCAGGCGGGAGTGCAGTGGTGCCATCATGGCTCATTGCAGCCTTGACCTCCTGGGCTTAAGCGATTCTTCCCCCTCATTTTTTGAGTTTTTGTAGAGACAAAGTCTCACTTTGTTGCCCAGGCTGGTTTTGAACTTCTGGACTCAAACGGTCCTCTTGCCTCGGCCTCCCAAAAGTGCTGAGATTATAGGTGTGAGCCACCATGCCTGGCTAAAGACTAATTTTAAAATTGTAAGTTTATCTACTTAAAATATTACCTCGAGAGAAAATGTTATGCATTTAAATAATAAAAAAATTGATATGCATTCATGAAAACATGTATTGTAGAGACTTAATTATAACAGCCAACTGCAATGTATTGTGTATAGGAATTAAACCATGTAATGCTTTTAAGGAACTTCCCTTAAAATTTGTTTTGATTGAATTTTCGAAAGAAACCTAGTTGGCATCTTTCTTATCCTCTGTTTCTAAAGATCACACCATTACTATATGCCTAGCTTTTTTTTTTGTATTTTTTGATCCTGCACGCCATAAATAAATTGAAGAGTTAGTTTTATAGTATTCTGTTTGTATAATTGGAAAGCATTAAAAATATACCGTTCATCTTCAGTAGTATTTTCTCTTTTCCTTGACCATTTTTATTAAATTATAATATATCATGGGTTTCACTTCATTTTTCTTCCCTGTGGTTTAAGCCACTTCAATCACCATGTGATCCTACAGACAAACGCCTACCATGATATTCATGGTCTGGACACTCACTATTAAGTAGTCCTTTCCTTGAGGGAAATCTTGAGTTAACTATCAAATAAAAGATGCATAACAGTTATTAAAGTTCTTTATACCAACCAACATCTCTTGTGTATTCTACCAGGTCAACTAGAACAACAGTTAGTGAGATGGGATTATGGAGACAGCATGCCCATTTCCCATCCCATTTCCTTTTCTCGCCCCTTCTTTTATGCTCTTCTTTCATTTTTTGAGGGATCCCTACAGACTCTTAAGTATTGTATCTTTATATACATTGACCATTCCAGAATCTTTCTCCCATAACATTCATGGCAATCAACCAGAACTATCTGTCTATAGGTCACAATATTCTAGTATAAACAAAAGAAGGGAATGAATGCTTTCAGGGCCTCCTGGCTAGTGCCCTTCATGTCTCTGACAAACTGCCTGACAGTGACTCCTCTTCTCTTTGTTCTGTAACAAAGAAGACAGCCTCAAAGAACATCAGATAAAATGGAGTTTTAAAGTTCACAATCTGGTTATTTTAAGGATTTTTATACCCTTTTACCAAGCGTCAGAACTATCTGATATCTAAATAAGTATTGTAGATACAGATTACTGATGTCAATCTTCTCAGTATCTACTTGGAAGGTCAGTTGAAGCACTAAATCTAGTTTTGGGTTTTGTATTCCAAAAGCAAGAATTCAAGTAACAGAATGCACTTTTTTATTTACTTCAAAAGCACTCCTTTTGAAATTTGCAAGTATGGAGTTACTGAGAACTCAGGATGCGATGTACAGAAAGTATAAGCCATTTAATTACAATAAAAACTCCTCAGGGTACATTTAATAGAAGCATTGAAGATAATTTGAAAGCAGAAAAGTGGTAACTATAGAGCTTTACTCTTAAAATGCGAAACATCACATTTCTAAGTAACAGGGTCTAAGTGTTTTATCCAAGTGTTACTAAAAAGTAATTAAGCACTTTACAGTGTTAATTAACTATTTCCAACCTTTTTATTTTTACTTGTTTTTTCCTTTAAGCTCTGTTGGACTTGACAACTTTTTTATTTTGTGTTAAGAGTCGTACATTAGAAACTAGCAACAAGTTTAAAAGTTACTGCTATACGTATGCATTATAATTTTGCTTTTTTTGCCAATATATTTGAGAGCATAATGATTTTATATGGATATCTACAAAGGCATGTGGAACAATTAAAGTAAAATTAAATTTGTTGCTTCTTTTGTTATGATTTTATAATAATGATTGTCATTTAAAATAATATCTAGCATCTATTTTAAACTACAAGCTCATTATTTATAGCATTTATTGCTTCTAGAACAATATTTTATATATATAACTGATACTATTTTTCTTGTAGGTGTGATTTCTTACACAGAATATCTTTTTCTTTTATGTATTTTAACAAGTAAGTATACTTATTGCTTTTATTTCTGGATGCAGCTTTATTTTTTAAACGAATCTTGGAAAGCAGATCTTAGGTTCTCTTACTCTTGAAAATCAATATCCATGCTGTTCTGCAAAATTCATGTTTAATGCTACAGAAAAATGCTAAGCATAGCACTGTAAAGAGTCAAAAACATAAATGCTACAGCTTATGGTATAGTAATAAATGCTCATAAATTATAAATTTAATATTACGTGTCAATTCTTGTGGTTTTAATCTACCTCAGACTCCAAAGGTCATGACATGTAATAATTTATAAATTCCCTACTGTACTCATTTGAATCATATTTTCTGCCAGACTGATGTGAGAGAGAGTGTCTCTTAACTATTGAGTCTATCAGAATACCCATCATTCACATCTAAAACTTCTATTTTCTCCCTGTCAGGTGCAGCATTTCTTAGGAAATATATGAAGGGTTTACTATGTTTTCAGTTAAATTTCTTTGCATTTAATGGAGACAATCTGTTATAGTTTACTGTGTTCCAGCCACCTGGCCTTTCTATTCCTTGAATTGCCGCCTCAGGGATTTGTACCTTCTGCTTCCTGTGCCATCAGTACTTATCCTCAAGATCCCCGTGATAATAAACATCATTTAGGTTTCCTTTCAAATGTGAAAATTTAGCAAATCCTTACTTGGCCAGCCTCTCTAACATAGCTCCCTCTCTCTTTGTATCTCTTTACTGCGTTGCATATTCTTCATATCAGACTATTTGAAAGTATTATTGGTTTACATGTTCTTGTCTCCCCACACTTGAATGCAAGGTCCATTATGGCAAAGATTTTTTCTTTTTTGTTCATCTCTGTATCAAGAACAGTGTCTCGCACATGGTACCCTTCCAAAAAGTAGTTAGTGAATGAATGAAGAAAGGAATACATGAAAGAATACTGCTAGTGGAATTTCCAGTTGTGGAGATATGTGGAGATGCATGGAAACAAGAACATCAGTAAAACTCTGTCATTAGAAACAATCTAAAAATACCTTGTACTTCTTTGATTAAAAAATTCACACCACTGTGTTATTCTTAACTTTGTAACTTAGCGAGGAATGACGTTAACATTGAGTTCTGTTACAGTAAGTTTTGAGAACAAGGAATGTGTACATGCACTCACATATGTGTATTTCAAAAAATATTTTTTTCTCTTGGACTTGTCACCTTGCTCACTGACTAGACTGAGCCAATTTATCAAGACGGGAATTACAACAGAGAAAGAGTAATTTACACAGAGCTGGCTGTACAGGAGACTGGAGTTTTATTTTTACTCAAATGAATTTCCCGAGCATTCAGGGATCAGAGTTCTTAAGGATAATTTGGTGGGTAGTGGGTGGGTGAGTCAGGAGCTCTGGTTGGTCGGGTCAAAGATGAAATCATAGGGAGTTGAAGCTTTTCTCTTGAGCTGAGTCAGTTCCTGCGTGAGGACCACAAGACCAGATGAGCCAGTTTATCGCTCTGTGTAGTGACAGCTGATCCATCAAGTGTGGGGTCTGCAAAACATCTCAAGCATAGGTCTTAGGTTTTACAATAGTGATGTTATCCCCAGGAGCAATTTAGGGAGGGTCAGAATCTTGTAGCTCCAGCTGCATGACTCCTAAACCATAATTTCTAATCTTGTGGCTAATTTGTTAGTCCTACAAAGGCAATCTAGTCCCCAGGCAAGAAGGAGGTTTGTTACGGGAAAGAGCGCTTATCATCTTTCTTTTAAACTATAAACTAAGTTCCTCCCAAAGTTAGTTTGGCCTAACTAAACAAGAAGCAACTGAATGAACAAACACAGCTTGGAGATTAAAGCAAGATGGAGTTGGTTAGTCAGATCTCTTTCACTGTCTCCATTATAATTTTGCAATGGCAGTTTCAGACTTTAAATGAAATTAAAATGTTAGTGCTGAAGAACTAGTATTGTACCTTTTGTAATAGGGCTACCTGAGGTTGATCCATTCTGCAAAGCCATAGTAATGAAGCAAGTCCAGTCAATGATGCTATCCTGAGAATGAGAGAGGGTGCAAAGGAGTGTCTCAAAGATGTGTTGAAAAGTTACCTTGTTTGACAAAACAATGATGGATCCGATATTAGAAGTTAAGCTAAGTACCTAAACCAGCAGAGTGATAGGCAAGGATAAGAAGTGTTGGCTAGGGTAGCCAATTGTTGAGATGGGACAGGGTATAGTTTAGGAGGGTCAGAAAAAACATACATAGTGCGTTTTGGCACAGAAAGGTTAGGATCTTTGGGTGCTGTGAAGCTTCCTTTGGAGTTCAGGACTCACCAACAGAAGCTTCTAAGGAGGTTGAATTGAATAATTATGGGATATTGTTTACATTAGAACTAAGAAAACTGTGAAAAGAGGGCTGGCAAGAAGTGGGCTACATAATCTTGGTTACCTATCTATAAGTGTCTCCCTCTTTACTTTGTACTGTATTTTTCCCTCCAAACAATGCTTGTAAGGAGGACTTCTTTTCTGTATGTATTTTCAAGATCTTTTTAAAGTGTAAAACTCGGTTATTAGAGATGTTGTAAATTTGTATTAGATTTCTGAAATACATGCAACAAGTGAGCTTGCATAAAGGATTGGCTTCTGTTTCTGTTATTTTCAGAAACAGCTGTTACTAGTTAAGAAAGTAGGACACTATCTGTGCCTCTTTTGCAGGTTCAACATTTCACAACAGGTGGTAGCAAATGTATCTGTGGGGGGTCCCTTTTTCAACTTTGTACCCCTCCCCCCGGTCATCTCAAAAGAAAAGATCCAGTGTTTTGAGAAGGGCACGTCCACTGAGCTGCTCTTTGAAGGACACTTTCAAGTTTTCTTCTGTCCAAGTTTTCTCCTTTATGCTCTAGAAGTGAAAAGGAGAAAGAGATTGAACCTCATTATTATAAGGTTCATGAAATTGAAGCACTTCATAGTATGTGAAAGTCTTTTTCAGAAAAGCAATTGTTCCTTGTATTTTGGGGGAATTGATAATTACATATTCAGTCTTCTTTTGTTTTATATTTCTGTTTTTGAAGCCTCTAGAAGTTTAAACTATAATGTCTTATGCTTGACATTTATTTTCATAGGTCATTTTAGTTATAATTTTCCCAAGAATCGGAACTAGTTCATTGTGTCATGTTTTTTTTCTGCCAATCTAAGTAGCTGAACATATTGAATATATTTAAAATGTGACGAGTTGATATTTTCCTTTAAAACAAACTAACAGACTTTGGATTAAAAAAGAGAAGTGCTTTAGGAAAGTATTCAAATTTTTCTCTCAGTGCTATGCAACAAGTATCACAGAAGTACTTTTAAAGTATATTATCAATTTTTATTAAGTGTACTAATTATAAAGCAGAAATATATATACTTTTATACGCTTTCTACTATCTTTAACCAATACAGAATATGAGTAACTTTACAACTAATATGGATTTTGTACTTTAAAATACATTTTTCCATTTTGTGAATACCTTCTCTGTTTTTTCTGGCAGAGCCACATGCAGGGTTCAGAATAGCTTTCAACATGTTTGACACTGATGGCAATGAGATGGTGGATAAAAAAGAGTTTTTGGTGGTATGTATACTAGATGCTGCACTTTATCAATAATTAAATATTGCTTACTTATATTTTTATGTTTTTGCCTTATTGGGAGTACTACTGTAGAGAAAAGAGTGAAAAACTTACGCTTTTGCCTTTACTTAATAAAGTATAATACTCAGGTACTTTGAACAATATTTACATTTTACAAATATAAATTACATTCAGTGTATGATGATGATTATCGTTGTTTTTTACCTTACATAAAAGTGTGAAATGTATCAGGTGTTTTCTGTTGGGTGGATAACAGGCAGTCCTCAGGTTATACATGCCCAATTAATATTCAGTCCCCATTATGTCATCCACCTAGGCACACAACTCCTTCCATAGGAACTTCTCTTCCTTCTCAATATGGGATTCATGTTTTTTCTTTCTCTTTTCTCTTCCACTTACTCCTGCCTTGCATTCCAGTCTTGTCCCCACTTCCCTGTTCCTTTCTGTTATCTTTGACCATAGGCTGATAGTTCTTAGATATTTACCTTTTGATGTTTCTTTGATGGGTCCAGCTCTGGCACTGGTCTGACAGTGAGTTCAGTTGCTCACTCAACTTCACATACCCTGCTTCCAGAATTTTTCTGTTTGTTTTACCCATATATTTTGCATCTCTTTTTGTGACAAAATGCCTAGTATATTTTTTTTCTCTGAAATAGAAAATACTATTAATGTATTCCTTAGAGTAACATGCTCTGCTTTTAGCATATATATTACACTCTGTCTTTACCTACACTCTCCGAGTAAAAAGAAAGGGAAATCAACAGCCATTTTCTTTTCTTCTTTTGTTTTCTTTTTAAATTATGGCCCTACCTCCTGAACAGCCATTTTATTTTCTACTTTTCCTTTGTAACATAGCTGTAAAAATTCCTCAGAAAACCTCTGAAAGAGCTTCATATTTACTTCAGAAGCTGAAACTCAGAGGAAGTCTATGACATCATTCTTTTTCTTAGTAGGAAAGAGAAAATATAAAAATCCTCATCAGAAGCTAACTAGTAGCCATTCAAAGGGAAACAAGCAGACTGATTACTGGGATTTATCAGTAGGCTTAAACTCTCACCCACGCAGCCCTTGCCCACGTGTAGTCCCTGAGCCAAGCCACTGGAGCTGGAGCCTTCATTCCAGTGCTTTGCAGAATGATGGGGAGATGGCGGTTTTCAATTTGATTACAATAGATATAGATGTGTTTCTGCCATCCGAAAATGGCCAAGGTTAGTGTTGCTTTCTTATGATGGTACACAACTGTATTTTAGGAACTTTCAGAATGGGCCTGTTTTTCTGCAGAACGTTCTATGTCCATACTGCCAAGTTCCATCCCCCTGACTTAAAGTAAAAGATTAACTTTTGGAACTCACTCCTTTGGAAGTTGCCTGTGTGGATGTCTGCATTTTAGAGAAAAAGTAAAACTGTGACATTAAGTACATTTAACTTAATTATGGGTTACCAATACCAAAGGATATATCTTCTTGGGGGAAAAAACTGAAATCAGAAAATAGATCTATAGCAGTTTAAATGTTCTTGGTGGATGAAGCTGTTTTCTTTGTTTTTGGAATATACCTAGTCCAGAATAGTAGATAGGTGCCCAGAAACTCTTGTTGGATATTTGATTCTTGATTGATTTCTTTGTCAGCTTCAAGAGATATTCAGGAAAAAAAATGAAAAGAGAGAAATTAAAGGAGATGAAGAAAAGCGTGCAATGCTGGTAAGAATACTTTATAGTAGCTTTAGGTGGCTTTTGTAGGCAACAATTATTTTATTCATGTTAAGAAACAATAATTAAAGTTTGTAACTTTGAAGCTGTCCCTTTCTTGAAAACTTTGTAAAGTTTTTATGTAGAAAAATTGCTTCAGTATTTATATGCATTGATATCAATATTTACTTCAAATATTGATATTAAACATTTGTATCCATAATCATTCATTAAATCATTTTCATCCATATTGTTATCTGTGAGATTTGAAGGGTATATCATACAATAGATTAATACAGATCATTATGCATGTAAAAATTTAAAGGTGAATTGCAAAGATTTAATTATAATGTGAGAGAATTTAGTGGTAATATAACAAGGTGACTGTCGAAACGAATAGAAGGAGATGATATGTTTTCTTGCATTCTTAGATGTATATATTAGAGATTCTTCTTCTGGGATATATAATATTTTCATCTTTTTCTGAAGTTAGAGTTAAGCAACATTACCCTCCATCTTCCTAACCAGTTTTCTTTTTATCTGAAGTATTTCAGCCTGACCATAGGCCAGGTTCACATAATAAAAATAACAAACAGGTACTAAGACCTTACAAACGGACACTATACTAGGTGCTTTCCATACATTTCTGATTTAAGCTACCCAACAATTCTCTTAGTATCCATAATTATAGATGAGGAAACTGATAATTGGGAAGGTTAAGTATCTTGTCCAAAGTTACATAGTTATTAAATGGCAAAGCCAAAGATTTGAACCTGTGTCTGGCCAACTCCAAAACCTCACTTTTATCCATTGTGACATATTTCTTTGTCTGATACTTAGATAACCAGAAATACAGTGAATTTTGTTGGCATGTAAATGACATTTGTTTCATTTGCAAATTGATGGCCCTGTGCAGTAGTTTAATTGTCCTACATAGAATTCAGATAACTAACTTCAGAGAGCTAAAACTTTATTTTTATTATTCTCATTTTTATAAGAATATGTATTAGGTTTTTCTTAACATAGATTATTATCTATAGCAGATGGGTGCCATATTCAATCCCAATATATTTATGAAGTGTACGTTTATATTTAGTTGAATGAAAGCAGATTATCAGGATTATATAGCACATACTGCTTTACAGGATATTTGACCATGCTATAATTCTTAGTAGTCATTGAACATCCCTCAGTATACTATTGACAAAGCTTATGGAAGACAGTCTTAAAAAATCAAAGAGTTCATTGTAATGTTAGTCAAGTATCAAAAGGGGCAGTAGTAGTTCTCTACTTAATTCAGGTCTCATGATTTTCAAATTGTAATTAATAAATCCTACATGAATAGCCCCATAATTGCAACTGTTTAGAGTATTAGCAAAGAAGACTAGAGAATTGAATACTTTCTTAAATTTTATTTCTTGTAAATAATATACTAAATGAGTAAACAGTTATTTTAATTTTGATATATTACCTCTAACTATAATTGACTGAATAGGCAAGTTGTTAATAAAATACTATTTAAGGAGGCTGAATAATGTTAATGAATCTATTGATATACTTTAATGATAAAGTAGATAGTATTTCAGTGGATATAAATATAATTGTTTTATTTATTTGTTTATTTATACTACTTCCAGAGAGGACTTACACATCTTCCAGTAAAAATACAGTATTATTCTGGTCATTAACATTTATTAATACATCCATCAAGTAATAAAGGGAGATAAAAAAGAGAAAAATATTAGCAGACAATGCACACTGAGAAAACCTACAGTGTTAGCACAAAATTTGGCTCTGAGCGTCACTGCAGCCAAGGTATAAGAAATTTAATATTGATTTAATGCAAATATTTTATAATAGTGATAGAGTAAAACATCATTAACTTAGATTAATTAGGGAAAATCCATCTGAATTATATAATCTAAATTATACCAGCATACCCTAAGTTGTATTATTTTATTTTATATGGGTTAATGAACCATTCCCTTTCAAATATATGGAGAAGGAGATTTGTTTTAAAGAACAGATTAAAATAACTTTTAAGTAATATAATATATAATTTGTTTATTTATAAACGAATGCTTACTAAAGTCTTTGATATCCACAGGTACCTCGGAAGTATTCGTTTTATGTAACTTAAATAGCGCTTCTAAAATCTTACTTTTATAATGTAGCTATCAGAGCTCTTCCTTAAAACAATTCAGAAATAATCTTTAGTACAACTTTGGAACTAACAGCACTTTACACTATAGCTCTCCAAATAGTCATTACTGTGTTTAGCAATAATGATAATTAGTGTTAACATTGTTAATCACATTTTAAATAATGCAAATCTGAACCAGGGAGGTTTTATTTTATATTACTTTAGTTATCAAAGATTTTAGTTTTAAAGTTTTTTTTAGTTATACTACTTTACTTAGAAAACATTATGTAAAATGTAAGGTGATGTTATCAAGGTGATAGAAATGACAATATGATTCCACATATTCTTAGAATAGTTTGGCTGAGTTCTGAGGCAATTAAAATTTAACTTATTGTGAAAATATATGAATTACATAAGAGAGAGAGCATAGCACAGGCTCAGGAGCCAGATTTTTGGGGTTTGAGTATTAGCCCTGCCACTCATTACCTGGATGACCTTGGACAATGTCCTTAACCTCTCTGTTCCTCAGTTTTTTTTCATTTGTACGATGGGGGCATTAGGAGTAATGACCACATGTGATTGGTATGGAGGTTAAAGCACATAGCTACTTAACCATGTGAAATGTAATAAACACTCAAAAAGGTTAGCTAGTAGTGAAACTTATTCTTTAGTTAGTAGAACCATGTAGCTACTTTAAACTGAATCTTAACATACCTAAATAAAAATTAAATCAAAACTAAAGTTAAAAATATTTATATGCCAAAATAAAACTGTGATTCAGAAGGGAAAAGGGAAGTGAACATAACATTTCTTGGGACACTTATGTGCTAAGCTCCATGCTATACTCATTGTTAATGTTACTCCCCTTTAGTCCTCATGACCGTTCTACCAGGTAAGTATTATACCTGCTTGGAGATGAGAAAACAGTCTTAGAGAGATTCATGTGCCTAATGTCACAGCACTGATCACAGCAGAGCAGGATTCCAGCACAGGTCTCTCATACCATTTCCACTGCCTTGCTGCTGCATCTGGATTTCCCCCTATGCCATGTAGCATTGCGGAAGCATGTCCAAATCAAACCGCATACTTCAGGACAACGTGTTTTACTCAAAGCAGTAGTTCTATTAGAAGGTTATAATGAAATGGTTGAAATGAGCAAAAATTCATTTAATGTTTAATTATCTGAGATTTTTAAAACTTTGCTACTCATCTTTAACATTTATCCCACTTGTATTGTTCGTGTGCTCTATATAAAATGTAGCATAATGATTTGCCCTTCCTAATTGATTATTTTGTCGTCTTTTTCCTTTTTTCTTTTGCTGTACTTGGGTTCATTCTGAAATATGACACTTCATTTGGCCCTTTGTGCTCTATGTCAGCGTCTTCAACTTTATGGATACCATTCTCCTACTAATAGTGTATGTACAATACTTTAAATGTTCTTTATGTATATAGCCCTCACCTGTTATACTTGATAATGTTATTTCTTTATATAAAGCTATATCTGCTGTTTACTAATAGAATGTTTTGGAATTTATTGAACACAATAGGTGCAATGAAGCCATAATGTTACATTTCATTCCTAGATTTATGTGAAGACTAAAATATGCAGAATAATTATATATCTTTAACTTTAGATTAAAATAAGGAAAAGGTAAGTGTACAACAATTAAAACATAATAATTGAAATTTTATATCTTTTAGCAGTATTTGAAGAGTTATGTAGAGAGAGCAGATTCTCAGGCTATGTTCCTGCAGAACACAGGTATTTTATGAACCAGATCTATCCACCTTATGTACAGTCTTTGTTCAATTCTAATAAGTGTCTTAATGGATAGACTTTTTTTCATTTTCACTTTTGCTCACAATTTTTTTTCAAAGCCTTTGTTTCCTGCCATTTCCTCTGCTCTACACAAAAATCTGGTGTAAGCTGCTACTTGATATGTTATATCAGTTTATCATATTATTTCTAAAGAGGATAATGACTTTCAGACTTTTCTTGTCTTAAAAAAATTGAGAATTTCTGTAGATGAACTTCCAGTTGTACCCTTCTTCTTATGCTGAGCTTTCTTCTTTCTTTTCTCCTGAGAAAGTCAGCACTTTTGGTTAGCCCAGCTGCTAAAGGAGAACAGGCCATGGCCCTTTTTGAATGTAAACATGTGCAGTTCACTTAATTTCCCCAAGGATCCTTAAGCCTCCTGCAAGGATCCCTCAATTTTTGCAAATTCCACCATAGGAGCCCTTGAATTCAGGGTTACTGATTTAATATTATCCTGCTAAAAGTATTCTAGTTGTAGTGTACAATTCTAAAAGTAGGTGTATTGTCTCCTGTATTGGATAGTTAATCAAAATTCCAAACTATAAAAACTAATTCTGTTACAGATTTAAACAGCTACTGGAGGCTGATCCCTGTAAACTAAACCTAAGATATTTTTCCTCATTATACAAAATGGACCTGGAATGGGTAGAGAAACAAGCCAAGTCCATAGGATCCATATAAGTAATTGTTTTGTTTACTTACAAGATACTTTAAATTTTTTCTACAGAAATCACTACTCTTTTCCATTAAGTAAAGCCTGTCATTTCCTTTACATTTTTAAAGGATTACTCTGTTAATGATTTCAACAATTTCTGGAATGTGTAAGATGAAAATCTCACAGATTATAATGCCATATGCCATATACTACTTAGGACTTTATGGGGGTTTTTTTTGTTTGTTTGGTGTTTTTTAAGATGGAGTTTTGCTCTGTCGCCCAGCTGGAGTGTAGTGGCATGATCTCAGCTCACTGCAACCTCCAACTCCCTGGTTCAAGTGATTCTTCTGCCTCAGCCTCCCAAGTAGCTGAGATTACAGGCACATGCCACCATGCCCAGCTAATTTTTGTATTTTTAGTAGAGATTGGGTTTCACCATTTCAGCCAGGATGGTCTTGATCTCCTGACCTCATGATCCACCCACCTCGGCCTCCCAAAGTGCTGGGATTACACGCGTGAGCTACTGTGCCTGACCTATGATTTATTTTTCTAATGTAATATGTCATCACTGTATGAACCATTTTTCTAACTTTGACAATTTTTATTTTTCCCTTAATCTCATAAGCAGTTTTCATATAGGGTCATTATGCATTTTTTTTTAGAAAAATACGTCTCAGAATAACGTTGCTAAAAGAAAATAGATCCTAATATTGCTCTAGTTTAAACTACATATGCAAATTGCAGTCACTGAGACATTAAGACAATATTGAGAAGCAGACTTAAATCGCAAATTTTATTTATATTATGCCTGTTAAATAAAAAATTATGATTTTTACATTTTATTGTAATATTTTTTCTTTATTTCATTTTATAGAAATCAGCTTTTTCTCATGTAAAATGCACACATTAAAGTGATGTAACTTGATGTCATTTTTACATAGTCTAAAATATTACAGGATTTTTCAACTCCTCTATGAGTTTACTTGGTTAGATAAACTAAATTTCCTATAATAGAAAAATATTTGCTCATTAAGGAGTTATTATTTTCATAAACTACAAGCAAACAAGGGACATTCATTTACAATTAGAAAAAAATTCCAACATCCTGAAAATGTATATGAAATATCATTGATACAAGTATTATACAAATCTATTAGTATGGTGTTGTGAATTAACTAGCAATTATCTGCTAGTTTCCAGAGTTGTAAATTAACTCAAGTGTCTAATCTGAGTATAGATCATGGAGCTGGATATAAACTAAGAGATTTATAAGAGCCAGTTTCTACCTTTAGGAAGAAGTTTCCTCAGGGAAAGCAGTGACCCGCTTGGCTTTTTACTATGGAGATAGAGACTCTGTGGTCTCTGTAGTGAACTGTTCCAAAATTTAATCACTTTTACAGTAGATGCTGCCTATTTTCCATCACGTTATTTCCTGCTACAGTGTAAAACTGAGCATACACCTTTGTATTCATGAAGAGAGCTGTTACCTTATAACCTTTTCTGTTCCAAATAACCGTGATTCTTTTCCTATTTCTCATGTGGTCAACTCTTAATTTCATCATTGCACAGTGATGAAAAGAAGTACAGAAATTCAAAAGGATAAATAATGCCAAAAGCCAAGTACATTTGACTTTGGCATGTATTAGAGGATTTTTTTAGAAGATTATTCTAAATTCTCCTAGTTTCATTGCTGACAGAAAACATACCAGTTTTTATACCAATTCTTTGGTGTATATTGAGACTTTTTTATGGACTAAAACAATATCAATATTCTTAAATCATCTGTATTTGAAAAGAATGTGTATTTTCCAGTTTGGGGTACAGGGTTGTGTAATATATACAGATGTATATTACCAAGCATGTTAGTTATGTGTTTTAAATCTTCTCTGTCATTACTAATGTTTTTGTCTGCTTGATTTGTCAATTAGTATGTTAAATTACACATTACAATAGATTTGTTAACTTCTACTTACTGTTTTCTTAATTTTTGTTTTATGTATTTTGAATTGTTGTTACCTGTATAAGATTATAGATTATTTATATCATCTTAGTGAATTGAATCCTCTATTATATGCTATCCCTAGATCTCTAGAAATGTTTTTTGCCGTAAAATCTCTTTTAGTTATCAGAATGAATATACTACCTACCTCTATTTTAATGTTTTGTACTACTTACTGTTTTTTCCTGTAGTGATGATGAAGCTTTCCCTGATTTTTAAAATATATTTTAGTTCAGAAATTTTCTATAATTAAAACGTAAATATACAATAAAATAAATAATGATAAAATTATAACCACCATAGTATAGATCAAGAAGTAAAATATTGCCATATACCACGAATCCCCTTCATGTGTGTCCCCACTCATAATCCCTCAATGTCCTTCAAAAGATAAACACAATCATGACTTTTATGTAAATCACTTACTTGCTTTGTTCTGTGGTTTTACCACCTACTTATGCATCCTAAACAGTGTAGTTTACCCCTTTTTGTACTTTATGTAACTGGCATCATGTTATATGAATGTTTCTGTCTCGTTTCTTGGACCCAACGTCATGATTGCCAGTTTCATCTATGTTGTATGTAGTCCTAGTTAATTCACTTTTTTTGCTGTTAACAGTGGCTTTCAAGCATTGTGGTCTGTGATCCCATTACATTGTCGAAAGTTATTGAGGATCCAAAAGATATTTTGTTTACATATGTTATGTATTTACCATATTAGAAGTTAAAACTGAGAATTTAAAGATATTAGTCTGTTTTAAAACAATAATTTAAAAACTCATATGTTAACATAAACATTTTAATGTAGGAAAAACAACTTCAAAAATATAGTGAGAAGAGTGATATTGTTTTACATATTTTGCAGATCTCTTTAATGTCTAGCTTACTAGAAGACAGCTGGTTTCTCGTAGCTGTTTTGCATTCGATCTGTTGCAATATGTTATTTTGGCAATAAATACTGTCAGTTGTTTACTTTCAAGTGACAGGCTCTCGCTTGGTTCATTTTAAAAAAAAAATGTCTACCAGGTACTGAAATCTGAATAACCATGGTTTGTCTATTAGTTGTTCTTTCAAGTAAAAGTGGTGGCTCATGAAAAAAGTGGCTAGTTCAGCTTGCAACACAAACCATCACACAGGTGTTCTTTCTTAAGACAACCATGGTACTTCAGCATGCAGCAGTAGTGCTGTATGCACGCTTCCTGTTTCATCACACCAAATATTAAAAAGATACTCATTCTTCTATGCCTCTTAATTTCTCCTTAACAGTTTGCCGTATTTTTATCTTTTCATGCTGCATTGTGCATAATTCTTCATGTTTATCTTCCGGTTCATTAATTCTACTAGAGATATATAATCTGATACTAAATTTCAGCGGTTAAATTTCTAAGAGTTTTATTTGACTATTATTTTAAGAGTAAAACAATTTTTGATAGTCTGTTTTTCCTGAATAATTCTTTCAAATCTAGCTTCATATTTTTCAAAGTTGTCAAAGTTACTTTGTATTCCATATCTAAGCATTTCATTATTGGAAGTCTGCACATCTGGTTCTGTTGTTTGTTTCTGCTGGCTCTCACTTAGGGTGGCTTATGTTCTTTTGTCTTTAGCAGTTTTGTGTTGTGGGCATACAATTGTTGGAAAGTCTCTGTTCAGATTCTTTAAGGACTAGATTAAGGATATATTCTTCCTGGGAGGATTGTATTCAGTTTTCTTTTTCTTTTTTTCCTATGATATACCTAGGGTGCAGTGCCATGTAACTTTAAATAACAAGTCTCAGATTACAGTTTTTAGGGCCATGGTTGTCATAGTGACACGAATTATAAAGATATAGTTTTAATATGTGTGTGTGTTTGTCTGTGTTTAAATATCACTAATAGCAAAAACAGTTTACTATCTGTTCCTATGGGCTGTTACTTTATTTTTCCCCTAGTTTGTTTAATCTCTGAATAGAACCTTCTTAGACCCTTTATTCAGACAGGGTATTTGGCTCTCTGAACATGGGCAACGTTAGGGAGCCATTATTCTGCTTAGCACAGTGATATATTAACCATCTCTAAATCAATCTTCTTTCCTCCTAACTGCCTTTTTCCCTCCTTTCCTCCTTCCCTCTTTATTTCCTTCTTTCCTTCCTCCCTTCCTTTTTTGTCTCCTTCCTTTCTTGCTGCCTTCCTCCCTTTCAGTCATATATGGCATGGAATGCCTTGAATGGGATCCTGCTTTGGCTCAGCCAAAAATGCCCTGGGCGCTTTTGACCAAAATTACAAAGTGTAAGAAAGTTCTATCAATAACAGACTCTGAACTTAAGCAAAAAATGTGTCACACTTACAGGGCACACTACATGCAGGACATCATTTTGGCTGTGCCTTTCACTTGTGAAGTTCTGGGCTACCTAACTGTATATTCTTTTACCTCTTTTAATGAAGGTCTACACATTTTACATGACATCTGGTAAAGGGGCCAGTAGCTCAGATAGCAAACAAAGATAACCGAGAAAACTTCAGGAAGTCTTTGCGTATTGGTCTACTATTTACATATCAAAGCATCATAGTTGTCTGTTTCACAGCCATCAAAGTGTCCAGTTACACCTGGGCATTTTTCTCTGTCAGCCTTTCCTTACTTAGCCTGTATGCATAGATATGTTCTGGTTTTATATTTGCTTTGCATTTCTTGCTATTAAAATCTAGTCTGACTTTCATTGCTACTTTAAGCTTATGTAAAATATCCTTACTGTATTATATTTTCGTGGTGATAAAACTTCCTACTAGTTTGCATATTCTGAGAATGTGCTCTTAACTTCATCGTTCAAATTGTTTAAAACATTTAAAACTGTCTCCAGAACAGTTACATATATAGGAATCAGTGAGTGTGCCAGGCATATCACTGATTTATTAGCTGTTTTTTCCTGCAGCAGTAGTTGCTGTAAGGATGTTGTTTCTGCCCTCAGAAACTTTATAATTATTTAAAAGATGATGTAAGATAAAACAAAAACAAATATATCCAGTTACAGCAATTCAGTAGTATATCCTAGCATTGTTTAATCCCTGAGGCTAAATGATGAACCAGAAAGCTTTCTGCAGCAGGACACTTGTAAAACTGTTACGTTCTAAATAAGATTTTTTAAATTTGAAAAGTTGTATATTATCCTAATAGATAAATACACATTTTCAAAATATTTTCAAATATGGCAAAGCAAGAAGAAAATTTAAAATATCCTAACCCCAACATTTGGAAATAATTAATATATTTACTTCTTTTTCTTGTCCACAAAATACATGGTTGGTTAAACTAATTTTAGTTCTTAATACGTTCTAAATATATTTGTGTGTGTGTGTGTGTGTGTGTGTGTGTGTGTGTGTGTGTGATTGTGGACAGTGTTTGGAAGTAAGGATGAGGCATGGCTTCACAAAGTGAATCATTCCTGCTACTCTTCTAACAGTAGTGCACAGTAAGCCTTATTTTCTAGTTTGGTGGGTTTAACAATCCCTTTCTTTATCACATATTAACCTTCTGAGTTGAACTTTTAAAACGCATCCACATTCAAAATATGTGAATAATATTTTCAGATCAATCATTTGATCTAGCTAGTATTTATTGAGGTTATTCCATATCTATATAAAATAAAATGAACTGTATTAGTTCTATATTTAGCTAGTCTTCCCTGTTTAGTTTATAACTGCTTAGTTAAAGCTTATATTATTATAAAGGGAGTGATGCAGATTCTCTGTCAATTTGCTACATTTATAGTTATGGTAATATTTATGTCTGTGTTATGTAAATGGTTCCTGCTAAATAATACTTTATTTACATTTTATTAAGATTTTATTAAAATATAGGCAGTGGGCAGTGTTTCTAGTTAGTAATAGTGAATTGAAACTTAGAGGACCTTTGAAATAATTCCTAGATGCATATAATTTTATTAGGAGCACTGGACTTTTAAAGATTAAGGCAAAATGAAAGAAAGAAAAGTTCTGTTTTCATCCAGCCACTCTTGAGTACACCATGCAGCATTTCATCTCACATTAACCAAAAGACCACCTGAGAACCTGTGAAATCTTCCCTGATAAATCCTGACAGAAACTGGGTTTAATTATTTTTGTTTATGGGGATCCAAGTTAGGCTTGCAGTTTGACATCTTCCTAGAGTGATTAGACTACACTTTTTAATCTACACTTCCTGATATCTCCTTCAGACTACCCTGTTCTCAGAATTTAGTATCCTGTCCTTGTAATAAATAATAAGTAGTACCGTAACCATTCACAATAGAAACACCTGCCAAATCTCAAGTAGTTTTGAGTGCTTTGACTTAAAACAGGTCTATTTCTTTTTGACAAGTTTGGGATGAATTTAAACTTTGTTTCTGTAAAGTATAGATAAAGTTATTTTGAGTCTTTGATACACTAGCAAGATAAATGATAGCCAGCAATAATGTATCTTTTAATAGGTTGCTACAAAGTTACCAAAATTTTTCCCAAACAAATTTACTTCACACAAGGTGTGAATAGAATTTTTTTTCACCCTTTCTTAGAAGTTACACACGTTTCAGTAGAGGGGCAGAAGGAGAGATCGGAGAATTTGATTCTTTTCGACAAAGCTACATTGTACTTACAAATAGTGGTTATATACCATTACACCTTTGAAAGTATGTGAGTTACCAGCAGTGTAATACAATACTGTGGTGCACAGCAGAAAACAAAACAAACAAACAAAAAAAGGTAAGCTAATGTGTTTCCTTTTCAAGGTTGGTTAGATTTAAAGTGTATAAATTATCATTCTTTGTAACTATTCTTTAGATTTCAGTTGTGCTTCTTAAAACTTCTACAGGTACTTAAAACAGATGCTGAGGAACTTGTCTCCAGAAGCTATTGGGATACACTGAGACGTAACACAAGCCAAGCACTGTTTTCAGACCTCGCAGAGGTATAATTAAACCTCAACAAGGTCCTTGTACTATTTGCCATCTTGTTAATCTAGTCGTCATTTCATTTTAGTCACAGTGATGAAACCCAACATGTATGTTACATTTTCCATTGTTTTAGTACAGCAAAAATTACTATATATAAACTGTGTATTTGAATACATCAGCTTTGACAGTTGAACTTAATTAAAAGGAAATGGCATTTTTTTTAACTTAAGGATCACTTTCTAGAAATTAGAATATATATATTTTAAAGTTTCACTGAATCTTTTAAGCTTACAATTTACCATGTTACATGAAATGCTGAAATGTTTCCCCCAGTAAAAGATACCTGACTCTTCAGAGTTATGTTAGATTTAAACAAATTTCCTAGTATTGATAGTGAGTGGCTTACCAAGGGCCTGGGGTATGGGAGTTTGAGAAGGTATGGTAGGAACAGCCAGTCAAGGAAGGGAGGAATATTTTACCTTGACATTAAGATTGCCAGTGCATAGTGAAAATAAAAAGCAGACCGACCTTATTTCAGTTCTATTACTGTTTATGAATTTGTTACAGATCTGCATCGTACTGCTGCATCGGAGTGGGCTGCTTCCATTATCCCATTCTTACACCACTGTCAATAGAGATTTCTAGTTTCTCAAGATGGGCCATATCTTAGAAAAACTGTTTTGTGTTTCTTATTAAGAATTTTTCCTAAGAACTTTATTAGAGGCAGCTAGCGGTCTTACCAGAAAAGACTTTTCAATAAATACTGAGATTTGTTTTTCATTATCTCTTTCTCTTTACAGTGGGCTTCTCATTTCTTTTTCTAAACTTTAAATTTAACTTTTAGAAGTTACACCTGAAAATATCTGGAGAAGTAAACTGGAATCAGTTGTGACTTCTGTTATCCATATATACAATGTTACTCTATTGACATATCTAGACTAGGGCAAACACTTGAAAATGTTAATTTTGTCGCCCTTGCTCAGTTTTAAAGTCCCAAAGCAATTAAAGTATTTTGTCCTATGTTTAATATGTCTGTGATATATAAATGTGATGTAATTATGACCAACAATTACCTTTTAAAATTACCTTTTCAATATGAGCCATGATTAGGTATGAAGTGGCAGATGTTCCCTTTACAGATATTTTAGAAGCACTTTATTTTGTAATCATTATGTAGGCACATTGTAGTAGTCAGTGCTTAAAAATAAGAGCAACTGGGACTCTTAGAGTGCATACAAGTCAACTGTGTCCTAGTTTCCATGCTTCAAATCAACAGTCATATCATTGTTGTCTCTCCCCATACTAGAGTATCCACCTTCCAGCCTCCAACTATCTTCATCCCATTTAACTCTGGTAGACATTCTCAGTTAGACAAAATCTGCTAATCAGATGTTGAATTTAATTTAAATCTTGGGAAGTTTAATATCAGAAAACCAGTCAGTTCCTGTGTACTCAGAGAATTATATGATTTCTGTAAGATCTTTGGAAAAGGTATATGGTTCTGTTGTAGATAGACTGGAGGAGCTGTGGGCTTTTACAGCTTCCCAGAGCTAATTAATTCTGCACACCTCTTCCCAACTCAACATTCTGTGACACCCCCTTTGTTACTTGAAAGTGGCCGTGATAGGAGTATGAATACCACAGAAACTGGCCAACATTACAAATCAGCCTTTTTTTTTTTTCCCGGACAACTCAGTTTGCCAGCACACTATTGGCTGTAATTAATCCACACTCTGATCCAAAGCTGCTAAATTAATGAATGAATTGAATCAAATTTCATGAAAGTAAATCTGATGGAGACAATCAAGAAAGGAAAAAGAGGAAAAGAAAAGAAAACTTATATCGTGTTCCAGAGTAAAATAATTACTTGGGGTTTATCTGTTACTACCCTCCCACATTAGAATAATAATTGAGAATTAACTACAGTTCAGTTACAACTAATTATATAAATCCTTATAGGTTACTGTGAATACCAGCGGAACACAGAATTGTTTATAGTATTAGTATTTCAGGATTCAAATTGGTTCAGAAAGAAGGCTTGGAAATCTATTTGTTATATGTATTTCTTTATTATATATTTAATATGTAATTATTGAGATAAAATCTGTTTATTATAGGGAAATTGGGTTATTAGCCCCTCATATTCTAGTCTGGAGCTGTTTCTAACCATAGATTTTTAAAATTACAGTAAAACTCCGTGTCTCCAATTACTGTGAAACCATATAATGAAAATTTGAATATCAGAGCTAAGACTACTTTCTAACCAAAATCATATATAATAAATTCTTAGTGCAGTATGATGAGTATATTGTGCAACTGTTGAATACAGTCTGTCAGTGTCAAAATTATAAACACTGTTTTGAGTTCTACAGATGAAATGTAAAATTTTGCTTTAAATTTGCTTTAAATTACATATTCTTGGTAAATTTCAATGGATTATTCAAAAACTTCATTAACAAAATCAAAAGTTTGAAGATTTCCTCTAGCCCTTCGATACCTCGTAGGGTTATTATCACATTATAATCAATAAAAATATGTTAAAAGAATATTTTTAAACCCTTTAATAGTTTGATATATTTATATTTCATGCAAGTTTATTTTTGATGAAATCATTTTAAATAGTTTTTAATCAAAACAAAGTAAGATAATGTCCTTTGAATAAATGGCCCATGGGGTTCTTTGGTGGCTTTTTCTCCCTTTGTTATGAAAACACCCGAGTTCATTTTATTTTAACAATGAGCACAAGAATCACAGGGATAAAGTCTCTATTTTTCTCTCAGTCCTTGGGTGATGTAAGTTACATAACACTGTTAAGATCCCAAGGACACTGGTATAGTTTTCAGTGGCTGAGCAGTACTCTGTTTCACTGAATGGGGGAAAAGTTTTCCCCATTTTCATTTTCATTTCTCTGATGTCACTGTTACTTATGCCTCATTGGATCTGGATTATCTGGATAAGTGCAACCTACATCTCATAAGATTTTGATGCTGAAAGACTGTTAAGTGAAGATCTGCTCTGATCAGTGGGCAGGAGAAAAACTGGCCGAATGAGGTCATTATTTAAAACCTGTATAAGACAAAGCCATCTTATTTTAGTATACTGTGTCTTGAAAAGGACATCCCACACTGTAAGAAAACATTCCTTAATTATGTTATCTGAATTCACTAACTTTTGGTGTTCCTGTAACCACTCATTTTAAGGCTTTTTTTCCAGATGTATATAATATGTAATTTCAACAGCAAAAAAGAAGTAAGAGTGTATGATGTAAAAATCTTTTTTTCATTAAGATTCAACATTCTTTTCTGTGTCTAGTCCCTTTTCAGTGTCCTGAAATATATTTGACAAAAATACATAATAACAGCTAACACTTACTGAGCATTTACAGTACACTAGTCAGAGGGCTAAATGATTTAAATGTGTTATCCTTACCACAACCCTTTGGGATAGATACTATTATTATTCCTTAAGATAGTAATATCCTCGAGAGATTAACTTCTCTAAGGTCACTTAAATAATGAGAAGTGCCTGGATTCAAAGCCAGCAGTCTGACTTTTAAACTCATCTTATTTGCTCACCACAGTACTGGCTATTTGTGAAGCAAGCAACTTTTTCAAAAACAACATTTCCCCCTTCTGATCTACTCTTGTCTCCTTTCCTCCCACCCCATTCCTCTAGCTTCCAGACAGAGGCGCCTCTACTCTTATGCTCCACTCGAGCATGGAGTAACCTCTGAAATATTTCCTCCTACTACTAATTTAAGCGGATAATAAGTAAGATAATAAACTTATTAAGCTAGACTCTATTAAATCACACAAAGAGTGCCTATAATTAATACCAGATTTCTTTTTTCCCAAAAGTTATTTGCATCTTATGACTACTAATAAGAACATTTGTTTGCTTATATTTTAACTTTATCCTCAAAATTGTTGTTATGGTTAGGATTATTCCCATTTTATAGATAAGAAAGCTGAAGGTTAAAAAAAGTCAGTGACCCATGTCTTCTAATTTTAAATTTTGTTCTATTAGAGCAGGCTGCCTCTTCAACTTAAAGTTCTGGGGACAGTAATGCCTTTGAGAGCTACTCCAATTATACTAGTCTCCCCTCACTTATGGAGCCCCACAAGACTGGCACCACTAATATCCCTCAAGTTTCATAAGAAGCTTATTCAAGAAGATGCATTTAAAACATAGTATGTGACACTTGGCTACCTGGCTGTATTTTTTTTCCTCCCGGCAAACAGATCAAACTACTATCAAATCCTCAAAGAAGTTGGTTTTATTGTAGACAACTTCTCAGGTATTCCAGCTATGGAGAATTCTTGGGATTTCTCAACAAAGTAAACTGAGAAGTAGTAGTAGAGATCTACCAAACAATGACAAGGAGGTTATATGCTGGAAATGATTAGGAAAATCTAAACTATATTACTTAAATGTGAATAGAATATTTAGTCGATTACTAAAGAATGTCAACAATTTTAGATAATTTAAAGTACAGATGACCCTACATGCTGGAGTTTTTAAGACATGTGAATAATTAGTCACTTTAGAAACAGATTTTAATGCATTAAAAGGGGACATGTGCAGGGGAAATCAGGTGTGGTCTTTGTTACTCCATTTTAATCATTAAAAGAGAAGAAGATGTGGTCCATGGAGAAAGGAAATAAAGATTTAACAAATGTTATGAAGGACAAAATTGCCATCTTTATGAAAGATTAGGAAGAGGGCTATGAGGAATTAAAGGAATATGAAAATTTAGTATATGGGTGAATGAGACTTTTGGTCAGCAACCACAGAAGACTGATCCTTTGTAGAGAAGTATTTGTTTTCTGTCTTATGTTTTCTATGGAGTACTATAAGAGTTCTGGACAAAAAGCTAAAAACGATGTGCCTATCTACAGCTATTTTTCTTGAATAAAAAATAGGATTATTTAAACTCTTTTTTCACATTTCCTAGGATGATGTGTAGGAGAGTTATAGTCCTTTGAATTTTATGCTTTTTGTACCTGAGTTTATGAAATGAGTTAATGGCCAACTGGAGAAGGAAGGAAGGAAGGAAGGAAGGGAAGGAGAGAAAAGGAAGATCTATAAAGCTATATTAAAGGAAGGTGGATGATTTTCATAGGCCATTATACTTTATAAGGACTATAACCAAGCAGTTTTAAGAAAATACTTAGAACTTAGTTTATTGAGTGGGAAAGCAAAAATCCTCTGGAATTAATTTTTTATCCATTTGACGTGTTACGTAAGACTTTGAAAAAATTATAGATCATATAAATTTTCAAGGTCATATTATTACTTTAGTTTTTCTCTTTCCAAATACAGTATCCATTTAAAGTATCATAACTGTGGAATACAGTGGTTAAAGGAAGCTGTTTTGTGAAGCTTGGGACCTTTCTTTTGTCAGCTCCATTTATTCAGTATATCTGAAGAGGTTACCTCTTTGGAACATCATTTAAAAAAACAGATTTTTCAGATTGATTAGGAAAATCCAAACTAATTACTTGAATAAAAATAGAATATTTAGATGATTATTAAAGGATTTCAATTATTTTAGATAATTTAAAAGATAGAATCCTATATGCATAATTTGTGATTAAACATTTCTTAAATCACATCTTCAAAAATTTTTGAGTACAATGATCAGTTCCATTCAAAGTTCTATTTTTAAAATGTGAGCTTTATTTTAACTATAATTGCATGTATTAATATGCCTGTGTTTTTCATTCTAATATTAATATATTTACATTCTTGATGTTTGTATGTTGATAACAGAATTCTTTGAGAAATATTGGGTATCCCTATTCTGTTTCTTTTATTGAAGCTAACTTTTAAATTGTGATTTTTTTTTAAGCGTGCTGATGACATCACAAGTTTAGTAACAGATACTACACTTCTTGTACACTTTTTTGGAAAGAAAGGAAAAGCTGAGCTCAACTTTGAAGATTTTTATAGGTGAGCTTATTTTTATATTTTTATTAAAAATTATTAGCCTACTGAAATCAGAAGGATCTTTAGAAATTGTCTAGTACAGCAATACTCACCTCTTTGTTACTTTAATTTTAAATAAGATCCTCTGTATAATAAATACCCACATTTATCAGTACCTACATACCAGTGGTTATATTGATAATTATAACAGGAAGTTACTGAATTTTTTTAAAAATTCCAGATATCGGCCGGGCGCGGTGGCTCACGCCTGTAATCCCAGCACTTTGGGAGGCCGAGGCGGGCGGATCACGAGGTCAGGAGATCGAGACCATCCTGGCTAACACGGTGAAACCCCGTCTCTACTAAAAATACAAAAAATTAGCCGGGCGTGGTAGCGGGCGCCTGTAGTCCCAGCTACTCGGGAGGCTGAGGCAGGAGAATGGCGTGAACCCGGGAGGCGGAGCTTGCAGTGAGCCGAGATGGCGCCACTGCACTCCAGCCTGGGCGACAGAGCGAGACTCCGTCTCAAAAAAAAAAAAAAAAAAAAAAAAAAAAAATTCCAGATATCTGGATTGATTGTTATCTCTTGTATATTCAGAAGAAAGTATGTTGCCAATTCCTTGTCTCAATAAGCTGCAGTGATAGTAACAAGTAGTTTAAGTATCATTGCTATTCTGCAAGGTACTTTTGTTATCCCCATGTTATAGATGAGGAAACTAAACCCCTGAAAGGCTAGGTTATTTGCCCTGGGTGCTACAGTCATTAAGTAGTAAAGCGATCGTGTGTTCTTTTCATTCTCATTTACAGGGAGGAACTTTATTAATCTTTGCATCATCATACAATTATTTCCATATAACCTTTTCTAGGACAGTGAGTATTTGCTCATCTCCTGTTACGATTACTCTTTCTTTATCTTTTTCCTTCTTTATTACATTTTTGTCATAGATTCATGGATAATCTCCAAACAGAAGTTCTAGAAATAGAATTCCTTTCCTACTCAAATGGAATGAATACCATCAGTGAAGAAGATTTTGCTCATATTCTTTTACGATATACAAATGTGGAAAATACATCAGTATTTTTAGAAAATGTGCGTTACAGTATACCTGAAGAAAAGGTATCTAATCCTCATATTTAGTTGGTTATGTTACTGTTTTGCAATACGTGCCTCTAAAACACATTGCCCTTTTGTTAGTTCTTTGGCTTCTCTGTGGATTAAAAGATATCTTGGATGTGTTTCATTCTGTGTCCTAAATGCTCTGGCTACACTTTTAAAAATAAATTAATTGTATATTCTGGTTAGATATCCACATTTTTCTTAGGTATTTCAAAACTCCTTTAGGCTACTACCAATTGTTTTATTCAAATTAACAATATCATTTTTCAGGAGAATTCCACTTAGCTCTATGCTTTGACTACTACCTAAATACCACCTCATAAAAAACAGTTTATGTTGACATCATTTCTGTCACACTCTATTCCTTTCCGTAACACCCTTAATAAAAGGTCATTTGAAGACCACCATTGATGAGTGAGTGATCTTATCATCAGCTGAAGTGAAGTTTTTCAAAGAGTTTGGATGTCATGAATGGTTAAGAACCTGGGACAACTGATTGCCTATTTGTTTAGTAACAAATGTGTTGTCAGTGCTTCTGAACAGTTGCATTATCTAGTGGTATTTGAATGCATCATTGCCACCAAATAGAACTAGTGTTACAAGCACCTCTTCAAGAGTGGGATGTTTTAGATATATTGCCTTCTATTTGTGTTTAGACAAGGATCAGGTTAGTCATCCAAGAAAAACTTGCAAATAGTTTGACTTTGTTTAGAATGGATACACTGTGACAATGTTAACAATTTTCCATTTCCCCTAAGGAATGAAAAAAAAAAAAAGACTTCATGCATTTGGCAATTAGTTTACGATATCTCCAAATTAGAGTACTTTTTGTCTGTTGTACATGTTAAACGGAATTTTTCCAATTCATAGGTACTTCCCTAAAAATAAATATTGAAAATTGTACTACCCTAGTAGTGCAATTTTTCCAGCTACTGAGGTATTACTTAGGGACTTGAATCTGCTTTTTTTTTTTTTTTTGCTTTTATTAAATGGAAATATTAAAATCTGTAACTTAAAAGGTTAAGTTTTTTAAAGTTAAATTCAGTTTCTGAAAAATTCCAATTTCTAGAAGTATCTTAAGCACCACAAATGATTACTTGTAGAAATGGAAAAATTTGCACGTGAATCAAAATTAATTGATTCTCATTGATTTTTTTTTTCTACATTACCTCATCAATCCTCAGAGCAACCTTCCAGGCTTGACTTTCTTCAGCATATTTTAGAATAGTGGAAGCTGAGGCTTTCAGATACTTAGACCGTTGTCCAAGGATTCAAATCCAAGGCTTTCTAAGACAATGATATTCTTACCACACTCTACTTATGTCTTTCCCCTCCTTCCGCCTACTTAACTCTTCCCCTTCCTTCCATCTCTCATCTCCTTCTCTCCAGAAGAATAACAGCTACTAATATTTGAATAGCCCTTTACATTTCTAAATTGCTTTCATTTTCATTTGTTTACCTAGCAGATATTTATTGAGCATCTACTATTTACTTGGCTTTATTCCAACCACTGGGGTTAAAGTGGCAACATAAGCAAAATCCTTCTCTCATGGAAATGTATGTTAGTGGAGAGACAAACAAGTAAAAAAAGACATACTTTCAGATACTGATAAATGTTATGAAAGGGAGCAAGAGTCATGGGGACTGGAAAAGAAGGTAGACTGTTAGGAAGAGCTTTGCTGAAGAGTGAAGAGGTAACTTCTGGGGAGAGACTGTGAAGAATGAGCTATGCGAAGTTCTGGGTAAAGTCTTCTAGACAGAGGTAACAGCAAATGCCAAGGGCCTGAGGACAGAGAAGCTTAGTTTATTTGAGAAAATGCCAAAAGGTAAAGTAAGTGGACAGGAAAATTGTAGGCGATGAGTAAGGAGAGGTAGATATGGGTCAAATCTTTTAAGACTCTGTAGGCTAAGGTAAGAAGTTTAGTTATTCAAAGAGTGACTGTAAGAGTGATGGGAAGCCACTATAGTATTTAAACTTTAAAGCAGGAGTCAGCAAACTACTGCACCTATTTTTGTAAGTAAAATTGTATTGGAACACAGCCATTCTCATTCATTTAATATACTGTCTGCAGCTGTTTTTACACTATAATGGTAAAGTTGAGGCAACAGAGACCATGTAGCCAGTAAAAATGAAAATATTGACTCTCTGGCCCTTTACAGAAAAAGTTTGTGAACCTTGCTTTAGCATAGGCATGATGCTCATTCAGCAAATATTCAACAAGTATTGACAATCAACTGTGACACTCAGATGTGGTCTAATTCATGTGCCAGATATCTGATTCATGTTTCAAGAGATATCTTGGCTGCTACATAACAGAATAGATTTTAGGTGGCCTGGCTTTGAAAGGAAGAGACAGGTTAAGATACTGTTATAGGTGCCCAGGCAATAGATAAGCATGGCTTGGACCAGGGTAAGAGTAGGGAAAAGGGGTCAGATATTGATTGGATCATTTAAAAAGTAGAGCTGATAGTACCTGTTCGTGGATATTTCATTATAAGAGAAAAAGGAATCAGGAACTCCTAGGGCTTTGGCTTGAACCACAGGCTGAAACAATGCCATTTGCTGAGCTAAGCAAAACCATGAATTTAGGGTTAGGAGGGAATCAAGAGTTTTATTAGGAACCAGTCATATTTTAGATTCCTAATAGTTATCTCAATGAAAAATTAAGCAGGCAAGTTGGATATGTGAATCTAGCGGTCAAGGGTGCAGTCAGGACTACTGATTAGTAGTCATTAGTGTATATCCACATTGTCTGCAGCTTAAACTTCTCCCCTGAATTTCAGGCTTTTGCAATGTACTGCCTACTCAGCATCTCCACTTGAAGATCCAGTAGATGTCTTAGACTTAATGGTTGCAAACCTGAACTCCTGGTCATTCCATAACACTTGTTCTGCAAACCATCTTCCCTGTTTCAGTTCATAGGACTTCGGTTCTTCTTAGTTCTTGTGGCCAAAATTTTGGACTCCCTCTTTTCACATTCTACGTACAATCAGTCTATCAAGAAATCCTATTGATACTACCTGTATAAGAATTTAACCACTCCTAGCCACCTCCACTGCTACCATCCAAGAAACCATTCTGTCTTGCCTGGAGTGTTGGAATTTCCCCCCAGATCATCCTTCTGCTTCCAGCTTTGCCTCCCTGCAATCTATTCTGCATTTAGAATTCACGGAAATGTTTTTGACTGTGATTTCGATCATACCACAGTAAGATTGCCATTCTTCTCAAAGTAAAAGCCAGAATCCTTACAGTGGCTCCTACACACACTGCTCCCTCATTACCTTTGACCTCACTTCCTATATTCTGATCCTCCTAGCTCACTCTGCACCAACCACAGAAACTCTTTACTGTTTCTCAAATCTTCTGTCTTAGGGCTTTGTATATGTTGTCCCCTCTGATGAGAATGTTCTTCCCTTAATAGCCACATGGCTCGTTATGCTATTTCTCAATGATGCCTACCCTTTCTAATCTAATATATAAATAATAGCCTATTATATGAATAATATATAACCTATTATATAAATGATACTCCCTCTCCTGGCTGTCCTTATTCCTTCCTACCTTAATCTGTTTTTATTTCCATAGCATAATCATATTCTAACATACTGTATAATTTGCTTATTTCCTAACAAATATGTTTTATGTATATGTATGCAAATATATATATTATGTTGAACTCTTGTTAATTGATGGATAGATGGTATTTTAAAATGTAGAACTTGAAGCTTTTTTGTTTTATGAATTTTACCTACAGATTTATTCACTCATGATGAAATGGCACATGTACAAGGTTACTAATTATAATGTTGTTTGTAATAGCAACAGGCTGGAAATGGCCTAAATGTCTTTCAGTAAGTCACTGATCAAATATATCATGATATATCTATAGAATAGAATAAGGTGCAGCTGAAGAGAGATGAAAAAAAATTCTTTACTAGTGCAGAACTATCTCCAAGATATACTAAGTGTGAAAAGGGCATGATTTAGAGCCGTTTGTAGACTATAAAAAGCTTATGCTAACTCTGGAAGGATTCACAGGACTAGAAATTGGTTCCTCTAAGGAAGGAAACTACATGGCTAAGGGTGGAAGGGACATTTTGTGCTATACAATCTTTGGGCCTTTTGAATTTTGAACAAGTGAATATATTAAATAAATAATTTAAAAATTTTTAAAATGCCATGGGACTAGGTAAACTTATCTAGGAGATAATGTAGATAGTGACCAGAAGGGATGGAAAGATGACTTCTCATACTAACCATGTAATGCAAATGTTAACAAGAAAGTAGTATAATTATTGTTATTAAGCTTTAAGGAAATGGATATTCAGAAAGATTTAAGTGGCTTACCTTAGGTCATTCAGCCAGTAAATTTTGGAGTTTGGATTTATTTCTCCTAACCTTTTAAACTCACTTATATTTCTAAAAGTTATTATATACTTGCCATTTACATCAGTTACCAATAAACTTTGAACAGTATATATTGTGGCATAATTTATGGGATCAGCATGAATTTTGTGCTGAAAACAAACATGGCTTATATACACTTGAAAGCCTCATAAGACCATGTTTTCTGAACGTCTGTTTGTATTTAGTCAATACTTTATTGTAATGATTTGTTTGGATTTTTTGAGTTAGTCTTTTCCTCTTCCTAGCCTTTTGTTGTTTATTTTATTGAGGTAAAATTTGTATAACAAAAAATTAACCGTTTTAAACTGAATAATTCAGTGAGATTTAGTGAATTCACAATATTGTGCAACTGCCACCTCTTTCTACTTCTAAACCATTTTCCTCATACCAAAAGTAAGCCCCGTACCTATGATGCAGTCCCTTCCCGTTTCCTTCTCTCCTCAGTCCCTGGCAACCATCACTCTGCTTTCTGTCTCTGTGGATTTACTTATTCTAATATTTAATTTCAGTGGAATCATATAGCATGTAACCTTTTTGTTTGGGTTCTTTCATAGTATTTTTATTATTCACTTAAATTTATTTCTTTTAAGAAATGGGGTCTTTCTCTGCCACCCAGGCTGGAGTGCAGTGGTGCAACCATAGGTCACTGTAGCCCCGAACTCCTTGGCTCAAGTGATTCTCCCACCTTAGCCTCCCAGGGAGCTGGGACTATAGGCATGTCCCACTGTACCTGGCAATTTTTTTGGGGAGGGGGGGGTAGAGACAGGGTTTTTTTTTGTTTGTTTTTTTGCCTAGACTTGTCTCAAACTCCTGACTTCAAGTGATCCTCCCACCTCAACCTCCCAAAGTAGTGGGATCACAGGGGTGAGTCACCATACCTGGTCTCATAGTGTTTTTTAGGTTCATCCACATTGTAGTATGTATCAGTATTTCATTCTTTGCTATGGCTGAATAATAATAATAGTCCATTTTATGTAAATACCACAATTTGTTTATCCATTCATCCTTCCATAGACATTTGGGCGATTTCTATCTTTGGCTGTTGTGAGTAGTGCTGCTGTGAATATATGTGTACATGTAGTTTTGATTTGTATTTCCCCGGGGAGTAATTATATTCAGCATCTTTTTATATGCTTATTGGCCATTTCTTTGGAGAAATGATTTTTCAAGTCCTTTGCCCATTTTTAAATTAGGTTGTTTATCATTTTGTTACTGCTTTGTACATGTTCTTTATATAAACTGGATTCTAGAGCCTTATCAGATATATTATTTGCAACTATTTTCTCCCATTTTGTGGATTGTCTTTTCACTTTATTTTTATTTATTATTTATCTTTAATTTTTTTCTACAGACAGGGTCTCACTCTGTTACCCAGGCAGGAGTGCAGTGGCATGATCATACTCACTGCGACCTCAAACTCCTGGGCTCAAGTGATCCTCCTGCCTCAGCTTCTCAAGTAGCTAGGAGTACAGTCCCATGCTACCACACCCAGCTAATTTTGATAGTGTTCTTTAATGTACATGTTTTTAGTTTGATGAAGTCTAATTTATCTATTTTTATTTTGTTCCTTATGTGTTTGGTGTCATATTTAAGCAGTTGTTGGCAATTCAAGGTCATGAAGTTTTGTCTGGTTATTTTGTAAGTCTACTAGCTTTAACTATTAAATTTAGAACTTTGATCTGTTTTGAATTAGTTTTTATAAATGGTATGAAGTTAGGGTCTAGCTTCTTTCTTTTGCATGTGGATATCCAGTTGTCATAGCACCATTTATTGAAGAAACAATTCCTTCCCCAATAAATGATATTGACATCTATATTAGTTCACTTTCACACTGCTATAAAGAGATGCTTGAGACTGGGTAATTTATAAAGGAAAGAGGTTTAATTGACCCAGTTCTACATGGCTGGGGAGGCCTGAGAAAACTTACAATCATGGCGGAAGGCAAAGAAGAAGCAAGTACCTTCATCACAAGGCAGCAGGAGAGAAAGAGAGAACACACAGGAAAAACTGCCATTTATAAGACCATCAGATCTCATGAGAATTCACTCACTATCACGAGAACAGCATGGGGTGAACTGCCTCCATAATCCAGTCACTTCCCTCCCTCAACATGGGGGGATTATAGGTCCCTCCCTCCCTGGACACGTGGGGATTGCAATTTGAGATGAGATTTGGGTGGGGACACAGAGCCAAACCATATCAACATTCTTATTGAAAGTCAGTTGACCATAAATATTTGAGTTTATTCCGGTACTCTCAGTGCATGTATTTTTTGATGTTTTCAGCTTTTCAGTTATCATTGTTTTATTTTTGTTAGCAGATAAGCTACTTCTTTTCACCTTATTTCTAACAGTTAAGACAAGTTCCATTCAAGTCCTGATGGTTTATTCCAGTAGTGATTCTGAGTGTGAGGATGGTAGAGTGAAGAAATGGCCACACCCCTTTTGTCTGCCCCTCTCTGACTGTCTGTCCCTCTTGGCCATTAAGAAACATTGCTTTAATTATCTCCATCAAAATACATGGCCCATTTGTTATTTTATAATTTTATATTTCTAAACACAAAGTGTTTAATCTACACAAAAGAATGATTGTATGTTCTGAATTTGACCTCTTTCCAAAAATGAGAACCATGTGTTGAAAAATCTGAAAGTTCAGATGTTGAACATTATAGTCTGTCATTTTTAAATTTATTTCTTAATCTCATGTCTGCCCCCCAATATATTGATATTTTTGTTTTCCCTTTATTTAAAAATATTCCATCCTCGTGTGTTTTACTCCTACTAACAGTAGCCTGTCACTCAGACACTGCTGTTATGGCAGCAGGTCGCAGCATAAACTGGTGCAGAACCACAGCAGTGACTAGTTTTTTTGGCAACAAGCTCTCCACATCACGACAAACCCTTTCTGGTGCAGTCCTCCTAACTGATTCAAACAGCCTTCTACAGAAAACATGATGGGTGGGATAGGGTCACAAAGCAGGATCCAAGATTGGAATGGTCATAAATGATCAATGTAAGGAAAGGAAAGTAAACAATGTGAGGAGAAAAGACAGTAAGGATTCTCCCATTGCAAGTAAAAGATGAGTTGTAATTGAAGTAACATATACCAAAAGCTGAGTGTTTGGGTAATAAATCATTTGATCTAATCAGTAGCTGGCTTATATGAAACTAGATCCCTGTGGGGCTTTCCCTGGCCTTCCAACACGGCCTTGTTAGTGTCCCTTCCTCTCACCCTTGTATTAAGTAAGAATTTGTTAGGCCTCAACTCGGCCTTCTGCTCTTCTCTCTGTTCTCTTTCTTAATTATGTTAATTTGCTGAGGAGAACCCATTAACTAAATGCAGCTCCTCTTGTCCAAATGTGTATTCTCTAAGATACATTGTACTTATTTCAAAGACTTTCCCTATTCAACTGAAGTAACAGCAGTGGCAATAATTGCAGTTTATACACATGACATTCCAGAAGAGGCCACCCTGACCACCAGTCCTTTACATTATCCCACACCAGCCCAGTGTGGAGGCACCCAGAACTGTACCTCTGAGGTCATTGCACTTCCTGCCACTGCCCTGGCAGTGCTATAGTGACAGGAACAAGTGTGAATACACTGCGTTGACATGGAGTCAGCACTTTGATTTTGCATTGTCATTATAAAGACATTCATGATCTAATGATGCTGAATTCCATTTGAGGAATACATGTGCAGGGGAAACTTTTTTATGGCTTTTTTTTCTGTTTTTTTTCTTTATTATCATATTTACCTTACAAGGTTAAAAAAAATCAGGCATAAAAGAGAGGATTTTCAAAATTGAAACTTTTTAATTCTTTTTTATTGGAGCTTTTTTTTTGGAATTTAGTGCTGACACGACAGTGTTTACAAAATACTTTTACCTATTATTCTAATAGCAGGCAGCACTACCCAGTGAAAGTAAGTCTGAGTGAATTTTACATTCCAGTTGGAGAACAACGTCAAAATGTGCCCTGGAAATGTTTACTTACAAGATACATTGCAAATGCTTAATCTGTTTTTTTCTCTTATGTGTAGATCCTGATTTTAATAAATTTGGCAATACTAAATGTATTTTCATTTCCTTTCCCAATATAGGGCATCACATTTGATGAATTCAGGTCATTTTTCCAGTTTTTAAACAACCTAGAAGACTTTGCAATAGCCCTGAATATGTATAACTTTGCAAGTCGTTCTATAGGGCAAGGTAAGTAATCATCTACAAAAATTAAAAGCAAGAAGTAATACTACATTGTTTCTATAGATTTTGGCAACCAATTAATTAAATATGACATATCACCCATCAACTTGTGTGAAAGTCCGGTGTATACTTTCAGTGACAAGTCAGTTCTGGTACTTGTCAGAAAACAGCCATGAGGGAAGAAACCTCATGGCCACTGGGTGACATTGAGGGACTTGTGTGTACCTATGGAGGAAGCAGCTGGTCGTGCCCTGTTCTTACAGGGTGGTATTTTATTTTACTAATTTAATGCCTGCTGACTCAGAAACTGGAATTTTCTCAGCAGAGCCACCTCTTAGCCATGGATTTACATTAACCAACTAACCTGTAAAATTGAGTATCAGTTTTGCATAATTTTCAAATAAATACAGTGGTCATAGAATCCCAAGTGCTGGTGTCCTCAGAGCCAGCTGTCTTTGGCTATAGGTGGACTAAGAAGCCAAGCCCTTTTCCTAGGATCCTGTGGCTGTGATCACCTTCCCTCTCCTCATGGCCATGTCCTTTTTAAAACTTCTTGCCCT
The DNA here is from genome assembly GCF_000001405.40 of Homo sapiens. NCBI lineage: Eukaryota > Metazoa > Chordata > Mammalia > Primates > Hominidae > Homo > Homo sapiens. Next base: position 17,114,756 of record NC_000008.11, read on the forward strand.
ATGGGGACTTTGTTTGTCTTAAGGTGATTTTACCTGTCTCTGCCATAATCTGTGTTAATGCACAAGCTTAAACCCCAGAGGAGGCCGGGCGCGGTGGCTCACGCCTGTAATCCCAGCACTTTGGGAGGCTGAGGCGGGCGGATCACGAGGTCAGGAGATCGAGACCATCCCGGCTAAAACGGTGAAACCCCGTCTCTACTAAAAATACAAAAAATTAGCCGGGCGTAGTGGCGGGCGCCTGTAGTCCCAGCTACTTGGGAGGCTGAGGCAGGAGAATGGCGTGAACCCGGGAGGCGGAGCTTGCAGTGAGCCGAGATCCCGCCACTGCACTCCAGCCTGGGCGACAGAGCGAGACTCCGTCTCAAAAAAAAAAAAAAAACCCCAGAGGACAGGCTATTATTATGTTCTAGAGAGAAGCCAAACTGCAGTCCCTAAGTGCTGATGATAATTTCTCTTTCCCAAAAACATAGATACTGATTTCATCATGTGGCCTTATTCATTTATTCATTGAATAAGAGAAACCTGCAAAATTTTATATTTTACCCTTTCTGTAGTCTAGATGTTCAAATATGGCATATTCTCAACCCATTTTAGTGTTTTAAAGCCAAAACCTTTGGCAACTCTGCCTCTACAGACTAGCCATTACTGCTGTGATAAATCTCATCAACGTGCAAAGAAACAAATCAATATCTGGTTACTGGGTTCAGAATAGAAAAGTTGTTTGTTTTTTAGAACTGGAAAATGAAAAAAATTGATGGTGTCACCTGTCTTGCAGGCGCTAGAAATACGTCCATCTCTTTTTGCCATCACAAGTATCTTTATTCAGGTTATTACCTCTTAAAAGGAATATTGTAGTAGCCACCAAAGTGACAATCCTGCTACTAGCTGCTTTCCTCTTTGATGTTTCCTACACACCTGACAGAATAATCTTTCTTAAAAAATTAACTTTTCTATGACACATCTGCAATGGAAAACTCTTAAGTTTTCCAATTGCCTATTGAAGAATGTTCTGGTTCCCTGCCTCAAAGTCCCTGTGCAGAGTTTCTTGAGATCCTAGATGTCCCCTGCTCCACCCAAACCAGACTCCCTGTTTTCTGAATGTGCTTTATGCCCTCCCACCTCCCCGCCTGCCTTGGTTCATTCATGTCATCTCATCTGCCATTTCTGTCATCTCTATAGGCTGAAATTGTCCTTTTGTGTTCAGCTCAAAGACAAAATCACATCCTTTTCCTAACCACTGCCTTTCTCTCCCTTCTCCCTGCTCCACACTAAACACAGAAGTGATCACTCATCTCCAGATTCTCATAGCACTTTATTGGTAGTTTTTGTGTGGCCCCTGTAATGATTATTTGGGCAGGGGTCTCATTTCCCATCTGAACCGTAAGTTTCTTGAAAACCTATTCATCTTACTAACTTCTAAAGTATCTGTCACTGATAGTAGGTGCTCATTAAACATTCATCGAATGTGAATGCATTATTAACCTAAGATACAGCTGTTGCTTGGCTCTTTTCATTTAAACCACAAAAATGTTCATTACCTAAAAGACAGCAGGATTAATGGAAGGCCATGTTGCATAAGATCATGATTCACATTTAGAAAACAACTTCTTTTACAACCTTTCTAGTAATTAACACATATTATAAAAATAATAACAGTCTATTCTTTTTCTATGTAACATTTATCTAGATGAATTTAAACGTGCCGTCTATGTAGCTACTGGACTCAAATTTTCACCACATTTAGTGAACACTGTCTTCAAGATTTTTGATGTTGACAAAGATGATCAATTAAGTTATAAAGAATTTATTGGAATTATGAAAGACAGACTCCATAGAGGATTCCGGGTAAACCTACACATTTTAAACCTATTGATATCCTTTTTAAAGTCTGAGGGAAATCAATCCATCTAAGTTGAGAAATAATTTATCTTAATTTCTTAAGGATATAAACATGAATGCTTTATTTGAAAAGAAAAAACATAGGCCTTACTTCCCTTAAAAAACAATTTGAGGTGATAAAAGAGAATGCTTTTTAAAAAATGTGAAATCAGTTTGACCTTATAATAATTTATTTTCATAGTCAGTCTAATGTCTTCATCCTAGTTTGTGGAAGAAAAATGTTGCCAAATATTTTCAAAAAATTTAGTCTGCATATTAGCTTTTCGGACTTGTTACTATACAAATAAATATCACTATTTGTCACTTTATTTTATTTTAATTTAATTTTATTTATTCTTTTAGAGACAGGGTCTCACTCTGCCACCCAAGCTAGAGTGCAGTGGCATGATCACAGCTCACTGCAGCCTTGAACTCCTGGGCTCAAGTGAGCTTCCTGCCTCAGCCTCCCAAGTAGCTGGGACTATAGGTGCATGCCACCATGCCTGGCTAATTTATAATTTTTTTTACTAGCAACGAGGTCACTCTGTTGCCCAGGCTGACGTTGAACTCCTGGGCTCAAGCAGTCCTCCTGCCTTGACCTCCCAAAGTGCTAAGATTACAGGAATGAACCACCACACCTGGCCACTATTTCTCATTTTAGATGACACAGATTTCCTCTAGGTAACTTGATGCTCTTATGTTACTGCATAATCATTACTTTTTAATATGAAAAATAAGTTAAAAATTTTTTTATCGAAATCTTACAGTAAAAAATAATTACCAGAAATTCAGTGATTTTTTTCCCCCAAGAAACATGTTTTAAAGCTGGAAATATAGTATGAATCAATAAATGTGTACATATCTAACATATTATGGATGTGCCACAAATAGAAAAAGAGAAAAAATGTTCTGTTAAAATTAAGAGCTAGAATATTCAATCTTCCCTCTTGCAAGAATATCCCTAAGTTTTATCCTTTTTTTTTTTTTTTTTTGAGATGGGAGTCTTGCTCTGTTGCCCAGGCTGGAGTGCAGTGGCGCAATCTCAGCCCACTGCAACCTCCGCCTCCCGGGTTCAAGAGATTCCCTTGCCTCAGCCTCCTGAGTGGCTGGGATTACAGGTGTGCACAACCGTGCCCGGGTAATTTTTTGTATTTTTAGTAGAGACAGGGTTTTGCCATGTTGGCCAAGATGGTCTCAAGCTCCTGACCTCAAGTAATCCTCTTGCCTTGGCCTCCCAAGTGCTGGGATTACAGGCATGAGCCACCGTACCCGGCCAGTATTATACATTTTAAAAGAGAAAAAGTTATATATCCAAAACCTCAAGATTCATCTGAGACAGTATTTTTAAAGATTTTTAATGACTTTAAAGTCCAAGCTACTTGAGTAAAGATGCTGTGTACTTAACTGCCACCTGGTGGTTAGTTGTTAACATTTTAGGTGATGCCAGAAGTACTTGAAACAAGTTACATTGAAAATCGTTTATTTTGCCTCAAAAATTTTAGAGGAGCAAGATCAAATTAAATATAAAGTACGCTAGAAACGTTTGCCACTGTACTGCTCTCTTAAGTGTTATGTTTTTATTTTTATTTATTACATACCTGTGGCCTTTAGCATTTTATTTACATTTGCCCTTTTTTTAATTTTTATTTTTAATCAACAGATAATAGCATACAAATATGTATTTATGGGGTAAATGTGATATTTTGGTATATATATATAGTGGAATGATTATATCAAACTTATTAACAAATCTATCAGCTCACATTTTATTGTGAGAACATTTTAAATGTACTTTTTAAAAGCATTTTTGAAATATGAAATACATGATTACTAACTATGGTCAACTTACTGCACAATAGATCTCAAAATCATATTCTTCCTGTCTAATTGGAACTTTGTATCCTTTGGTCACCTTCCCCCTTTCCTCCCCAGTCCCCCAGCCTTCCAGCCTCTGGTAATTAACATTCTACTCTCCACTTCTATGAGTTTGACTTTTTAGATTCCACATGTAAGTGAAATCACGCTGTATTTGTCTTTCTGTACATTTGCACACTTTGCTCTTCTGTTTTACAGGGTTATAAAACAGTCCAGAAGTACCCCACTTTCAAATCCTGCCTGAAGAAAGAACTTCACAGCAGATAAGTATGTTAGCTTCTATTTGTCTAAATTTGTTCAGTAACAATAGGGATCATAATTTATTTTTCTGTTATAACATTTAGAAAATAGCTGAAAGAAATAGAATTATCTAATTTATTTTTAATTTTTAAGTCATTAGAGTATCTTGATTGAAAAATTTTACGTTAAACCTGAAGTTTTGTATGTGAGCAGACAATGTAATAAATCAAAATTGGACTTTTATAATATAGGATAATTAGCACCCAAAGAATATTTGTTACTGTTTTTTAGGATCATGATTCTGAGCATCCACAGAAAATAACAGCTTATTTGTTTAGTTATTTTAGTTGTCTGGCACTATATTAAGTGTTCTTCCACAGGTAGTATCTCATTTAATTCTCACAGATATCCCATTTAACAACAGAGAAAAATCAATGTTTAACAAGTAACTTGCATAGGATAACTTGCTAGTCAGTGGAAAACCAGAATTTAAGCTTCATTCTATCTTATTCATTTATTACTTCCTATTTATTATAACTTATTATTCCTTATCACATTTTTATTATTTATAACCCAAAAAATGTGTCAAACTTGTTTCTAATCTCCAAGCGAGGAGTTTGTTTTTTTCTTTTTTCTTTCAAAAGTCAACTGTAGCGATAAAATTTTGGTCAGTTGTGGGTTTTTATTAGTTAGATTTCTGCAATGGAGATTTTATTGTTGGTTTAAAAATGCTTGCAAGTATATTCATGTATATGTTTCTTGCTGTTTTTCTCAAGCTTGAAGCATAGATAGATAGATAGATAGATAGATAGATAGATAGATAGATAGAGGTGTTTCCCAAAGTGGTTCCTCAGCACATCAATGCATACTTAAAAAAAAAAGTTGCTTAGTCAAGTTTAAGAAATATCATAATAAAACTGGTTAAATAAGTTTCTTCCCCATAGAGTTTATTAGATTGTAATATGCTACTATGCATTTTGTCTTGCCAAAAGGAAATGGCAGTATTCAGCATTTTACAAATTAGGTTTGAGATCTAGTGTTTTATGGAACCCATTTTGGGAAATACTCATCTAAAATGTTTAGAGGCAAGCAGGCTTACTTATTTGTCTAAGGTGGTAACCGTTGTAGCTGAGTTAACAAAAGAAGTCAGGTCTTCCTAATCTCCATTTTAAGGAATTTTAAACTGCCTTATAAATTCTTAAACTAAACATTGAAAAAAAAGGAGGACCATTGTCTGGTATGTCCACACAGGTAGTGTTCCCGACCGACTTGTAGTATCACACTGGCACCACTGATTCTAAGTAATAGTGCGTAGAGCCATACCTGGAAGTGGCTACCTTTCTCTAAGCCTAAGATTGAGGATTGCACAGATTACTAAACAAAACACTCAGCTTTTAAGTCTTTGTGTCTTATATTTTATGTGGGGTGTTTTTATTGAATTCCTTACGTTTCATATTATTATAAGAATATTTAACACTATCACCTCAGAATTATATCCTAAATAAATATTGCTTTTGTGTTATTATTTTTTTTAATTAGATACTCCTAAAACAAAGTTTAAAGGATTACTATCTGTGTGACAAATAACAAGAAGCAACATTTTGAGAATGGAAGCAGGTCTGAGGTCAGAAGAAGTAGAGAATGAAGGAAAAGGTGAATGCTATGAAATTGATATTTTTTCTGGAACTGAATTCTTAAACATAAAACAGATAAAATGCATCTTGTTACTACAAATGTTATATATATAAAATCAAGTTGAGCTTTGCCTTGATTTGCTGAACTCTCTGCACTTTTTCATTCCCTTCAGAAGTATATAGATACTTCCGGTGACTACATATGAATGTACTTTCAATATTATTTTTTTATTTATTCATTAGAAATTTTCCTCATTTCAAAATAATTTATGACTCATGGAATGTTGATCGCCTAAAAATGAACATCGCATTTTCTTTGATTTTGGACTGTGAACTTATTTTCAGAGATGAATATTGCTTGAGATTTATAATACCCTTAGAATTAAATTCCTGTTATTTGCCCAGTTTTTAATTACACTGAGATAATTTTGAAAAGAAATAGAAATTAAGCTACTATATAAAACAATTGTTTACGTGTACTTTTAACTTTTAAAAGTACTTAATTAACATATGTTGTTTGACTTGTATAAAGTTTTTAAAAATTGTTGTTTATTTGCCAAAGTCAACAGAATGTCTGTTATTGTTTTATGTATACGGTAAAGAAATTTAAAGTGTAGAATTTTCCTCCCCCAAAAAGTCATGTGTTGATAGTAGAAGCAGTGGTAGTTGTTGTAACAGTAATCATTGTCATTGTCATTATCTTCTTAAACATGAAGCTGCTCCTGATCATAGGTGGTACACGTTAATAACACTAGTAAAAATAACGTCTTACACTCTGTAACTTACTGCATATTGTTAATGTATGTCTAGCATCAAATGAGTATTGTAAAAGACTAATATAAAATGGTTTATAAGACTGATGTATATATTAAGTAGAAGCTAATATTTTTGTTTCTTGCAAAAGGACCACTTGAAAAGTGATGCTAAACAGCCAGTAATAATAATTTAAATATAATTTATTATTTCAAAAGAATATGTCTTAAAAGGGAAAATAAAAACTTTCTGTTGAATCACAACAAAATTAGATTTGTACATAGAGAAACAATTTGATAATACTTAATAGAAATCTGTTCAATTAAAAATGCTTAGTTTATACAAAGATACTACACAAAAATAGAACAATTAGTCTGAATTAACGTATTTACATATTGCATATGGAAGATAAGTTCATTTATCTTCCTTTCTAAGACATATTTAATGTAGGTTACATACACTCCAACTATTACTTTGCTTTTGCATATGAAACTAGAAAACACTGACTTTGTTTTTATAAGTTATTAAATGTGAAATTGATCTGCATCAGCTTATTTATAAAAGTAATGTTATTTCCAAGAAAATGTTACTCTTAGCATTGATTTTGTATGTTAGACTTTTTACATTGTTTATCTAATATTATTTATGACAGTAATTTTAAAATATATTATTCATAAGTTCAAGGATCCCATATAGTATAAGAATATAATTTCACTTGCTTTGAAAGTTGATTTAATTGACTGACTAAATGAAAATGCCTACCCACTCATATAACATACCTCAGGTCTATTTTACCTTACACTGAATGTTCTTAATATGATTTGGTACCTAAAGTAATTGAAAAAAATGCAGTTTCCTTTAATCCTTGACTATAAGTTATACTATGTTGCGTACATGGCAAATCCTGCAAATATAGATTAAAAATTAAATTAGCCCATTGAAATCCTTTATAATTCTGTCATTTTCCCAAGGAAGAATAGCATTGTACATATGCAATCTTTATTTTATTCTTTATTGCTTATCAGAGTGAGTGGATGAAAACATTTGTAAGGCTGCAACATAATATTAAAATGTGAATAAATAAATGTTCTGATAAAATAGAAAAGAAAGTAAATTACAGTGATTTCCATCATATTATCACTCTTGAATTTTATCATCTATAAAATGAGAGATAAAAATATCTCACTGAATTGTTACTTATATCAATTTAAAATTTGCTAGTGGTTTGAAAATAATAATGTACTGACTACATGTATGCTGTTATTGTCAGTGTTTCCTTCTATAAACTGTTCTTTGGAAAAATTAAGTTATACATAAAATTCATATTAAACTTTTTACAGAAAGCATACATGATAAACAGTTTATGGTACTTCTCAGAATCATTTCATAATAAGCAATTTATTTAGCTTAAGTTCCAACTTACTGTTCTTATTATAAATTGCAAAGCAACCTGTCTTACATTCTTACATTATCTTAAAATAAATATTTCTGCCCTTGAATCAAGAAACATTGTACTTGGCTTTTATATGTATCTGTGGACTAATAATGACTTTCTGAAAATGTAACCTTCAAACTTTGGAAATCTTTATGGGTTACTAAACCTCTTTTGATTTTATTCCCTCTTCTGTGGCAACACATGCTAATGACATTTATCTCATCAACACCTTTGTGGGTAGGTAACTCACAGAGCTATAAGGCTTCTCAAAGTAAATTGTAGGAATTCCTAAATTATAGAATTATGGTCATTGGTACTGGAAAACTTTTCAGAAAGTTTATATGTGACTTAATGGAGTATTAATTTTGTAGGTATCATCTTACTAAGGTAACACCTAGAAATGTTTCAAAATACACTAGTTATTATCCTACTACTTATAGCCATATAGTAAATTAACACTTTTTAAAATATAATGCTTTTACTTCCAAAAGATATAAAAATATGAATTCCATAATATTCAGAAACTGTAATAAAAATTGTAAGTGATAAGAAATCACTGTGGTTTGTAAAAAATTGGTAGCATTTTTAATTTCTTAGTAGTTCATAAAATAATGGTACACCTTGCAATGTTGCATCTTAGATTCTGTGAAATACTTTATTTGTAGTTCTCTATATAGCATAATCAGTATTTTTGGCACACATCTTAAAAATGGAGGAATATACCTATAATTGTGACTATACGCACAGAGAAAGTTTTCTGGGAAAGATAAATTTTGTCCAACACTGTGAAGAGAGAGAGGTGTACTTACGAAAAATAGAATAGAAAAGATAAGAGAATGGAGAGGGATCTGAATGAGGATAGATTTTTTTTTAATGGACTGAGTAGACAGTTTTTGGAAAAATAAATGTAAAGAAGTGCAAGTTAAAATGACAACATATCTTTTCACCTTGCACATTGAAAGGATAGTTATATAATGTATAGTATTGAGCATGGGGGGCAATTCAGAACTCTCGAATGTTGCTGGTGAGCTGTAAGTTTGGGGGCAGCATCTTTGGAGGGCAATAGAGAAATATCTCACAGTTTTACTTGTGGGACTATCATATCCCAATACATGGGTTAGTAAATTTATATGTCAATAAATAGATTTATTCAATGAAATACTATATAACTATTAAAATAATAACTGAAAAAAGTAGGAGGTCCACTTATGTTTATATGACATGATCTGTAAAATATTTTAATGGGAGCATAGTAAGGTATGAAAGAATGTGTACTGTACTAGTTTGTGTTTAGAATATACTTTGATTGCATAGAACTATGTTTTAGTTTTATTAAAGTTATATGCATATATTTTAAAAAGACAACTCTAAAGTCTTTAAAAAAAAAAAAAAAAACCACCATCCCTCTGTTGTGCTTCTCAGAGGCAATCACTTTCAAATCTTTTGGCAGTTTCTTTTGGTATCTACCTTCATATTTCAAGATAATATGTTTATATCAACATTTTTGATTGGTCTTATTTTTAGCTTGTTAAGTATTTATTGACTTCCTACAATGGAAAAGAAGGATTTGTCTCCCTTACTCAAGTCCCCCTCCAAGACACACAGACATGTTTCCCCTCCACTATCCTTTCAGTATACAGTATAACCTGAGTTAATTATTATGTCATCTTCAGTTATTATATTTGCTTCCTTATACATCTTTCCCTAGAGTTGTTAATTTTCTCCTTTGCAGTTTGCTTGTTTGTCTACCTTTTATTTAGTTATAATTAACTTCTCCCAGACTGGTGACCAGAACTATATATTTAGTTATAATTAACTTCTCCCAGACTGGTGACCAGAACTATACATGCATGGTTAATATATTTAAATATGTAAGGTAATAGGTAAGGTTTTGTTATGTTAGAAATGCCTGCTGGAGCTTTCCATCCTACTGTCCCATCTAGAATGGTTGTCCTCTAGGCCTGGCCCAGAGGTGTTATTCTAGGATCTCCCCTCTCTCTCTGTTCAAGATTGTATTTAACCCTCTCTATCTCCCAGGTCATCCTGTTTCTTATCTTTTATTTTTTGGAATAGAGCATAAACCTCCATATTTCCTGAGAAAGTTGCACAGTAAGTAAATTTTGAGATCTCGTGTGCTGAAAACACCTTTATTGTACCCTCCTACTTTGGTAACGGCTCGTCCAGGGATAGAAATAGAGTATGGTATACCTTTTCCCTCAGAATTCTGAAAGCATTGCCCCACTGTCTTCCAGCTTCCAGTTTGTTCCCAAGAAATCAGATGCTATATTCTGATCCATTACCTTTTTCTCTTCTTTCTAGGACTTAGTAGAATCTTCCCTTTGCCCCTACTATTCCAAAATTTCAAATTAATGTACCTTGATAAAAGTCTTTTGCTTGATGTTTGTGCTGAGCACTCAACAGTCTTTTCAACCTAAAAACTCATGGCATTCATTTCTGGAAAAAAAATGTAATTATTTATTTGAGAACTTCTTGCCCTCTTGTTTTCTCTGCTCAGTTTTCCTGGTATTTCTATTATTCAGATAATGAATCTCCTATGAGTATAGCCTGTAATATAGCCTGTAATCTTTCTTTTCCACTGTTCATGTCTTTGTCTTTTTATTGTACCTTTTAAAGATTTCCAATTAGTCTTCTATCTGCATTCTTGAGGGGTTTTTTTAATTTCATCATATTCTTTTTTCTTGAGTTTTCCTTTTTTATTTTCTCCCATTCTTGTTTCATCTATTATCTTTTATTCTCTCTGATTATTTCAGTTTCTTTAAAGTTTTCTTGTGCTCCCTTCATTGCCTTATTTCTTTTTTTCCCATTTGTATTTTGGGTTTCTCATATTAGAGGTATTTCTCAAATATCTGGCAATCCTTTGGTATACGTTCATATTTACAAAGAAATTTGAATCTCTGTGTGGCTGAGATGAGCTTTTGACTGATGGATTTTATTATTTGCTGTTGTAGCTGGGGCATTTCATACGAGGAATCTTGACTATCAGTATGTATAGGTCTTTTCTCTTTGGCTGGCCAGATTTCGCCTGCCTGGCAGTTTAAAGGTTGGCTGCTATTTTGTTCAAAGTTGAGTGTGAGAAAGAAATCTTGAAGCCCCTTTCTTCAGTATGTTACCCCAAACTTCAATCCTCTCTTCTCCTTGTGCATATAACACCTCTCTGGTGGCCAGGCACGATCGCTCACACCTGTAATCCCAGTACTTTGGGATGCTGAGGCGGGTGGATCACGAGTCAGGAGTTCAAGACCAGCCTGACCGAGATGGTGAAACCCCATCTCTACTGAAAATACAAAAATTAGCCAGGTATGGTGGTGCACGCCTGTAGTCCCAGCTACTCGGGAGGCTGAGGCAGGAGAATCACTTGAACCTGGGAGGTGGAGGTTGCAGTAAGCTGAGATTTTGCCACTGCACTTAGCCTGGGTAACAGAGCAAGACTCCATCTCAAAAGGAAAAAAAAAAAAAAAAAACCTCTCTCTGATTTGACCACTGAAGGGTTTTCTGCTGATGTGTTTGGAAGGGGAGATCCAGGGGGATGAGTTTCAGGCAGGGAGGAGCCTGTAATGTAAATTCTTCCTAAACAGTTTCAATCATTCCTTCTTATAGTACAACCTTGAGAGGTACCTGAATCCTTCACTTAAGCCTTTGAGGAACTCTGTGGGGTGAGTCTGCCACTTTCAAGGTGTCTCCGTATTGCAGGCATTTAAGTTCTCTATGGTCTATGAGTTTATTACCATATGTTTCTGAGATTTAAAAATTTTGTCTCTGTACTCTCTTCCAGTTTTCCTGTCCTTGAGAAAGAAACCTATACTGAAAAAAAAATTCCTTTCCTGTCATTATGGTATAGTTTCAAGAGGGAGTGAGGAAAAATCGGCATCCAAAACAACATATTTAACTCCATAGTTACACATAGTTCTAATATATCTGGAAGTACCCACAAGGAACTTAAGGATGGTTATCTTTGAAGATGGGGGCGTGGTTATATTTAATGAGCTGTTATTGAACTATTAGAGTATTGTTAGCATGGGTATGTTTACTTTTTAAGAAAAGCACATTTTTAACACTTAGGATCTCAGTCTGGTAAAAGTGGGAATAAATCATGAAGGCTATGTATTCGGTGAATTTATTCACCAAATCTAGAGTTAGACTACTTCTTGAAGTGGGAAGAGATGGTTTGAAGAAAAAATAAAAGTATTACGGTGATTGTAAATTTGTGGAACTACCACACAGTTTAGGTTTGGATGGTAGGACTGCAGAAGGAAAGAATTGAGAAAGGAACATCAGGGGGAATCAGTTACTCGGTTCAAAAAGGTAAAGATGGCAGCTACACTCTCTGACACAGTATATTCTGGTCACATTTACCATCAGAGACAAATGAACTTGATTATTAATCTAATTCAGTATGGCATTTCCTATATGTGTATTATTTAGGAATGAAGCAAGTAGCTTAAAGGTAAGCACATTAGTCTGCTAGCAGATTTTAAACTGAGGTAAAATAAGAGTTTAGGACAGAATAAAAGACAGTAAAGATATTTTGAGTGTATGCTATATCATGCTTTTGCAAGCTCTAGGTGCTATAAGAGTTAAATATTTAAGCTGAAAAATCTATGAAAAGCACCCTGAAAATCTATACTTTTTTATGCCATTGCTCTTTGGTGCTAAGAGTTTCTCAAGTAAGTGAGTATCTTATGTACCATTTGTGCTGTAATATTTAATTACAGTGAGTGTACAGAAGATTAGCTGTCACAAAGAATCTTTTGAAATCAGATTGCACATCAAAACTACATTGTGCCCTGCTAAGTAGGCAAATTTAAGAAAGAGGAGAAAGTGATGTCAAGACGTATTGCAAAATGAACAAATAAAGCAATAGGATTTGCTTGTTGTTCAGCCTATTAAAGCACAGCCAAATGTCAGCCTTCATTTGTCAACTTAAATATGTTTTTTCTAAAATTTATAAAGATTCAGTCTATGGAAAGTATCCTTTACTATTTGGACTGAGAAGTAAATTAAGCAAAAGGAAATACTAAATAGATTATGCTACTAATTCAGTTTCTCATAGTGATAAATTGCCACATAAAGATGTATGTTAGTAATTCAGATAGAGATATTTATTGCCTTTTATTTTTGTTATTTGACTGATTAGCAAATTAACATATGTGTTTTTGCTCCCAGATATGTGAGGTTTTAAAAGCTTAGGTTAATTTCTGCTCCACAATAGCTAAACCCCAAATACAATGTACACTGAACCATTTCTAGTGTCCTGTGATTTCTTCCCTTCAAAAACAAAAAACAAAAAAGGGGTAAAAATAATTTTTTAAAAAATCTAAGTGCTGAGCCCCAAGTAGCCAGGAGTGGAAACTATCAGTTTAGAGCCTGAATTGGACTTGCTAGAAATCACCAGGAACCAGACCACATAAGGGGAGGCTCCTCAGCTAGAGCAACAGAGTTCACAGATGGTTGGAACTGGAATGGTTGGGAGCCTGCGGGCTTTATGGAGAGGAGAGATTGCCCTGAAGCCAGAGTTCTCTACTGACAGTGTGTGAGCATAATCAGCTTTGAAACAGCAGTGAGGGAGAGGACCTGAATGGGCCCTCCTCTTCTGAGTTAAAACTTTTAAGGGAATCCCAAAAGTTCCTGAGATCAGTGTACACACACACACACACACACACACACACACACACACACACCAGAATGAAGCAGAAGAAACTATCCCAAAAGAGTCTTACATGATAATCAAGCATAAACTTTAAAAGAATTCAACCAAATCCAGATAAAGGTAGCCACTATGAGTGAAAATCAAAGGCAACAATACATTTAGACTGCAGAAAATGCATATGTTGGAACTGAATACAAAATACAGAATACAGGCTATATGTGAAATTAACTTTGAAATTTCAAAAATTGTTACACAAAATGAGAAAACTGTAGGGATTAAACAGATACACTTATGAGATAGAATTTCTAGAAATAAGCATTTGCTGAAATCAAAACCTCCATTGGAGAGCCATGACTATTAGACTTATCCTTCTACCATAAACAACTACGACATTGCACAACAAATAATTCAGGGCCTTGATCCTTGAAAGAAGGGAAAACTATGTGGTGGAACTCTGCATTCAGTGGCTTTCTTCCTGGAAGGGCTTTCCAAACTACAGCAGAAGTAAGTGGAGCCCAGACAAAAAAGAGTTGCATGGGATGGCAGAAATGGGACCAGAGTTAAGAATAGCTCAAGTAGCTGGCTGAAATTTATGGGACAGAGTACCAGGGAAGGGGAGCTGTGCAGAAAAGAAGCACCAAAAATCTGCATAGGGGTACTGTTAAGTCTGACTGAATACTAAGCTGTACGTAAGCAAGGCAAGACTTCATGGGGCACGGCAGAAAACAGTCACTGGAGGTCCCATAGTGCTGGGAGCCATCAGTGTTCAAATCAGCCAGTGTGTGAAGGTCTCACTGAACAACCCAAGCATTAAGTAAAGGTCACAGGTTAGGGGTAAGGCTACTGTACCTCTAAAGTAAAGACAACTCTTGACCTATCCTAAAATTAAACCTTGACAGGACCAAGCTATCCTATCAGTACCGCAGCTACCTGCCAGAACAAAACTCAATACCTGCACAGGAAGACAGCAAATTCCTACTGTCAACAGTGTAGTATCCATAACATCCACTATAAAGTAAGCCAATATTAGGCTAAGCAGGAAAATGTGACCCTTAAAAAGGGGAGAAAGTCATTCATAGAAAAAGGCCCAGAGGTGACCCACATATTTGAATTAGCAGATAAAAACTTTAAGAACTATTATAAACATGTTCAAGGGTTTAAGTAAAAATAATAGCATAATAGGTAAAGAGATGGTAATTACAGACAGAACAATGAAAACTATAAAAACCAAATGAAAATTTTAGAATTGAAAAATACAATACTTGAAATAAAAATTCATTCTGTGAACCTAATAGAAGATTGGAGACAGAAGAAATGATCAGTAAACTTAAAGGCAGGGAAATACAAGCTATCCAAACTGATGCACAAAAGAAAAAACTATTGAGGAAAAGAAAAGAATAGCACCTCAGTGAACTATGGAACCACACAAAACAGACTACTGTAAGTGTAATTGGAGATCAAGAAGAGGGGAAGAGGGTGGGAGAGTAAAAGAAAAATTGAAAAAGTACTAACCAAAATTCTTCCCA
The DNA here is from genome assembly GCF_000001405.40 of Homo sapiens. Classification (NCBI taxonomy): domain Eukaryota; kingdom Metazoa; phylum Chordata; class Mammalia; order Primates; family Hominidae; genus Homo; species Homo sapiens. Next base: position 17,129,765 of record NC_000008.11, read on the forward strand.
AATTTGAAGAAATGTGTAAGAGTTTCAAGAAGTTTAACCCCAAACAAACCCACATCTGTTCATATCCTAATTAAATGGCTAGAAAGCAAAAACAAAAATTTTTTTTCAGAGACAAAAGATATATACAAGGGTAATGATAAGAATCAGTGCTGACTTATCAGTAATAATGGAGAACAGAAGATAATTGTATAACATCTTTAAATGGTGGAAAGAAAAAAGTGTTAAACTGGAATAGTATATTCAGTAAAATAGTCTTTTAAAATAATGGTTATATAAAGACACCTTCCGATAAATACTGTCGGAGAGAATGTAACCAGCAGACCTGCACACTGGAAGAGTTAAAAGAACTTCTTTAGGCAATTGGGGAATGAAACTAGCCAAAAATTTTGATACATACAAAATAAAGTTCACCACGTAAATGATAAATGTTTAGTAAAATATACAATGTTTTCCCTTAAGTGTATAAAAAGGCAATTGAGACTAGGCGCGGTGGCTCACACCTGTAATCCCAGCACTTTGGGGGACTGAGGCGGTGGGTCGCCTGAGGGTAGGAATTCAAAACCATCCTGGGCAACATGGTAAAACCCCATCTCTACAAAAATACAAAAATTAGCCGGGCGTGGTGGCGCATGCCTGTAATCCCAGCTACTCAGGAGGCCAAGGCAGAAGAATCACTTGACTGAGGTGGAGGTTGCAGTGAGCCGAGATCGCACCATTGCACTGCAGCCTGGGAGCAAGACTCTGTCTCAAAAAAAAAAAGAGAAAAAGAAAAAGGCAATTGACTCTTTAAAATGAAAATAATGCATTGCTGCGTTTATCATTAAATTATTTGGTAATATCGCAAAGGACAGAAAGGGGTAAATAGAAGTATACTGTTGTAAGATTGTATTGTAGGTGCAATGGCATAGTATTAATTCAGTTAATATAGATTGCGACCCATAGAACCGTAAGTGAGTTAAAATGCAGTAATTTTTTTTAAATGGCTAACCCATAACGCAGGAAAGGAGGAAACAAAAAAATGGGTACAACAAATAGAATAAAATAGCAAAGTGATTACATAAATTCAACCAAATTAGTAATTAATGTTAAATGTAAGTTCACTAAACATTCCAACTAAAACTCAGATGTTAATCAGTTTTTAATGAAGATTATCTGCTGCCTTGAAAATATGTATTTTATATATAAAGACATGGATAGAGTACATGTAAAATGATAGAGAAAAAAGATCCTATGTAAACAGTAATAAGAAACTGGAGTGGCTGTATTAACATCAGACAAAATGATGCCAAGACAAGGAGTATTACCAGATGTAGTAGTTGGGGTCCAGTTAGGAGACAAAAACCACCATTTAAACAAGGAAATTTTAATGTAAGAAATGATTAGAATAATGGCAAATTGACTAGTGAAAGTTAAGATAATTTTAACAAATAAAAGACTAGCAGGTATCAGGAGCAACCGTTATGGCTAAGACTGAGATAGAGCTCCCAATATAGAGCTTTCCCCCTACTAGGGCTGAAATCCAGATGTCTTTGGAAAGGGCACACCTTTGATTCACTGGATAGTGGAGAAGTCACTAAGGTGCCTCGTAAGTGGGAGCATAAGTGGGAGTTGCTAGAAGTTTCTGGGGTGCCAGGGGGGCCATCCACAGAAAAGTGGAGTCTTAAATCATCAGAGTGAACTCCCTGAGTGTCAGAGGGAGCTGGTGGTGGCTGGGCACTGCTGGAACCGAAATCTGGAGAAGCAGCCCTCTAGGAGCCCAGCATGCCTGCAGGACGGCCCTGGGATTCTAGGACTGAAAAGATGTGGGGAGCAGTGACTTGGTTTGGTGTGCAGGCCCATACCATCTGGGAAATCCCGGATAATCTCCAGCTGAACACTTGAGAAAATTGCAGCCTGCAGCATGGGAGAAACCACACAGGGAATAAGCATGCAGGGGAGGGTGGAGTGTGCCCTACAACAGCCTAGAGAGTGAATCATACCAGAACCAGGAAAGGAAAATCCCTTCCTCCTCCAGCGTCCTCCAGAACCCTCTACTGACAAGGTTTAACACTCGGCTAGCTAGCAAAGGAGAAATATTTCCAAAATCCATCTTCATTTATTACAAAGTAGGCCAAAATATGGTGAATTTGGAGCTAAGAGGAAATACATCAATAAACAGCATAGTCTGCCCCTTTGAGTACTCACTGTCCATATATACCTTCTACGCACACTTGAATGCCATACAATAATAACTCTACATTTCACCTAACAGGATACTCATCATCTCCAAAATGAGGAGATGCAACAATCATTGCATACAGTGCTGTGGCTATATTAATTGCCCTTTAGAATCATCACAGTTCCACTGGATAGTCTGTTGCCCAAAGACTAATTGTGAATTTAACCTCTAGCAACTTGCATATAAAATTTTTGTTAATAGAAGGGAGCAAGAAGAGGAAAATGTGAGCATATATACATAAGTACATACACATGAAAAGCAAAAAAGGAAATATTCAAAATGACTACAGCCCTTTTTTCTGCAGTTGGTCACAAGGCCCTAATTTTTACTTATGGCTTCCTTCTTCTACTGTTCATTGATTTCGCCCACCTCCAGCCAGAACCTGGTAGAGTAATTCAAACTCTCATTCCTGAAAGTTCCAAGTCCTCAATTATCCTGCCTTTTATTTTGGTTTCTGTACTTTTCTACTACACTTTTCTATTGCATATGGAGTACTAATATACACCCCAAACTGTCTCCTGGGTTACAGACATAGTCTTCCTTGCCCCTAATGTATAAAGGCAACCCAGTTTCCTCTTGGCAATAGGGATCAGTCACTCCACCTAGTAGAGCAATCCACCTTTCTGCCTGTTGATTCAGTAGCATGAGGAGTCCAGAATAGCCAAATGGAAATCTTTCTCCAATTCAGTGGAACCATTGTGTCTCATGGTGGAAACCATGTTCCCTTTAAGAACTCAGATCTCTGAAATGGCAGAGCTCAAAGATGCCAGAAGCAGCAGCAAATATTCTGCAAGTGTGTTATTAGGTGTTGCTACGGTCTGAATGTTGGTGACCTCCCAAAATTTAT